>NC_000003.12:105220725-105523755 GCF_000001405.40 Homo sapiens | reverse complement strand
TGTAAAATAATTATGTCCATTAAGGAATGAGTCAGATTAACTAATACAACCCATAGTTTTGCTGAGTCATAACAATGAGCTCAAAAGTCTTTCATACAAAAACATCACCAAAATAAGATGTACTCTGCATACACAATTATGCCAAGAGCACTGAGACATATAACGCATTTCTTCCTCTGGTCCCACAAAAATTCTCTCACCTAATAAGCAATTTAATGTAAAATCAGGGGCAGTCCCTCCTTTATGTACCCTACAAGACCTTTGAGAAAATTAAATGTGATATATGTTATAGTCCATGACAAATTTTAGGATTCTATGGAGGATTCAGTTTTAAGAATTAATAATATCAATTACTAAGTTGATATTGGAGTCCAAAAGTTTTATTTGCTTAAATATCTGAATACATCAACAATATTCTTCTTAACTGTTTTAATCACAGGTTTACAACGCAAATCCTCTTCTTAAGTCATTCCTTCATTATGCAAAGTATGTTAGACCACTACCTTATTCATCATCCCCTTATTCAATAAATAATAGTTACTAATTTTTGAGCACTTAACTTTATGGCAGGTGTTTTCTTTGGGCTTTCTTTTTTTTTTTTTTTTTTTTTTTTTTTGAGACGGAGTCTCGCTCTGTCGCCCAGGCTGGAGTGCAGTGGCACAACTTCGGCTCACTGCAAGCTCCGCCTCCCGGGTTCACGCCATTCTCCCGCCTCAGGCTCCAGAGTAGCTGGGACTACAGGCACGCGCCACCACGCCTGGCTAATTTTTTTGTATTTTTAGTAGAGACGGGGTTTCACCCTGTTAGCCAGGATAGTCTCGATCTCCTGACCTCGTGATCCGCCCGCCTCGGCCTCCCAAAGTGCTGGGATTACAGGCGTGAGCCACCGTGCCCGGCCTTCTTTGGGCTTTCTATGCAGTAATTGGTTTTAATATTCATAACAGCCTTATAAGTTAAACTTAAATATTAGCCTCATCTACAGACTAGACCATGGAGGTTGAGTTTGGTTAAGTAACTTTCCAAGGTCTTGGCTGGGAAATCTTAGCAGAGCAAAAATTTGAGCTTAGAGCTTGGCCTCATTATGGTTACACTGTACCACTCTTGATAGCCTTCAATCCCTCTTCTGCACCAGGCACTATGGCAGATAATGGTGAGGAGGTGTCAGGAGTAGGGTTGGGAGGAGTGAATAGGGAGCTGTAATCTCCATTCACAGGGAGTTTACAATATGATCCAGGAGAAATCAGGCCATTTCTTCTCTATGTTTACTTCGGCTCATTTTTCCAAAACTTTCCTTTGTCTTTTAGGTGGTTACATTAAATTAGAGCATTGCAAATGCTCTATTTTAGCATTTCTGCAATCAAGATTGACTTTAGAGCATATAGTGCCTCAAATGTATCTCAGTTTATTGCTGAAGCCTTTTGCTTAACTAAAAATTTGAAAATTGCCATTATTGTTTGATTTCTGCAAATCAAGATTGACTTTAGAGCATATAGTGCCTCAAATATATTTCAGTTTATTGCTGAAGACTTTTGCTGAACTAAAAATTTGAAAATTGCCATTATTGTTTGATTTCCAGTGCCACTGTGCCAGTTCAGTTTACTGAACTGTGTTACTCCCTGGGTTTACTAACTCCCACATTTCACTAACTGTGCTGCTCCCTGGGTGAATGCTACTCCCTGGGTTATAGTTAGAATTTTCTATGATCATCAAAGTTTGCCATCACCTGACTCCATTTGTTTTGGCAGCAAATTTGATTGAACAAGTGCATTGTGTGGTAGTCTCCCAGGCACTTGGAATTTTGTTGGCACTAATAGACTCTGTCCTCAGAGGCCTTAACTTCACATTTCCACATTTATAGGAAACCAGAAATAGTTCAAAGTTACCTCGAGTGAACTGGATACTAAATAGAAGGAGGCTACAGAGAAATGCTGTGCTGCCTTACCACCTTCCTTTCCTTTCCTTTCATTTCCCACTCACACGAGCATAGTATGGTTAGGATTCTGCAGCATCACAGACACGAGTTCACTTTGTTGAATGATTACTACACGACAAGTACTAGGTAAGTATTTTGATATCAATTTCTTCGGGTACTCTGACAACAACACTATGAGGAAGATATTTTTATCTCATTTTATGGATGAAAAAATAGGGATTAATTCCTCTGCCCAGAATCTCACAGTGAGCACATTGTGGAACCTGTTGATTTCAGAACCTATATTTTAAAAGACTGTGTTAAACCACCCCTTGAGTGCAAGCTTAAGCACATTTCTTACAGTGTGTTCTGCAGAATGTTTGTTCTTGGAGATATCTGAGGAAAAAAGTTGTGTGGTCAAATAAATCTAAGCAATGAATCAAACTATGACCCTCAGACAATTCTTAATGCATTTTACATATGAAAGACTCCGAGAAGTGATGCAATAAACTTTTTTTTTTTTTTTTTTTTTTTTTGAGACGGAGTCTCGCTCTGTCGCCCAGGCCGGACTGCGGACTGCAGTGGCGCAATCTCGGCTCACTGCAAGCTCCGCTTCCCGGGTTCACGCCATTCTCCTGCCTCAGCCTCCCGAGTAGCTGGGACTACAGGCGCCCGCCACCGCGCCCGGCTAATTTTTTGTATTTTTAGTAGAGACGGGGTTTCACCTTGTTAGCCAGGATGGTCTCGATCTCCTGACCTCATGATCCACCCGCCTCGGCCTCCCAAAGTGCTGGGATTACAGGCGTGAGCCACCGCGCCCGGCCGCAATAAACTTTTTGTAAAGTATTTGACCATCAAATTCTTTTCCTTTGCAAATACCTTTTAACATTTCAAGGAGCTAGGGAAATTTTGATATTGTGTCCAGGGAAACATATCTACTTGAAGCTTGCAGACTGTCATGAGTCTCCTGTGGTCCAGCATTGGGAAATTGTACCACACAAACACTTTGCATTAATATTGATTAATTAAATTGAGACATTTTATTACTCAAAGTTACATAGCCATTCCACATCTCCCTACCAGGATCTCTACCCTCCATTTTCAGACCCACTTGTACCTTCATACCTGAGAAGATTTGATTTTACTATCTGCAAGAAATATGGGAAAAAATCAACACCGTTAAATATAAAAAAGACCTATAGCATCAACACATTTTTAAGGCTAAATGCCAGAATCAAGCTTGTAATACTGATGATTAATTCCGAAAGACTGTCTAAGGCTCTATCTACTGATATATCTTGTCTTTGCAATAACCACATCAAGTAGAACATGAACAAATGAAGAAAGGTTGCCATCCTCCACTGAGGTCTGTCCTATAATCCACTGATTTATTCTGGAACTCTGCTTTTTTCTTTGCCTCTAACACTTAAGGTGGAATCTTTCAGACTAATACATTCTAAGAACTATGTGTTTATTGGCTTTATTTTAAAATATCATTTGTTATGTAAGATAGGAATTATTTTTTTGCCATATTCCACACAATTTTACCTTCCTACATTTGTACTCACAGTTTAATATTGCATTTAGGTTAATTTGAAATTCACAGTTACTCACAGAAAGAATTTTATTTAAAAGAACAAGGGCAATTAACCAAGTCCCAGGTAGGTCACACTTACATATTTCCATTTGCCAAACATGAGATTCTGAGGTACGTCAAGTCGGCAAGGTATGATAATGGTATCTCCATATGCTGAATTTACAGTATACCATCCAAGGCCTTTGGGGGAAAAAAAAAAAGGAAGAAGAGAGAAAGAGAGAGAGAACAAAATTTTAAATGCTTTCTTGAAATGACAAATAACTTCAAGATGCATGTCGATGAAGGTTGTCATCTGCTATAGTTTTATTTTAAATGGTATACAAAAGGTATGAGACTAGAATATATTTTCCATTTAAAAATTACCACCTTTCTATTTAGCTACTGAATGTTTGAATCCTTGACTATCACACAATCAAAATTTGCAGATCTCCAATTTTACTAGAGAACAGGTAAGTGGTGTATTCCAAAGGAACATCGTGGAATCTGCAGATGAATTATCTTCTTTACTGTATTTCATAGAAATAATTTCCACCATATTTTATAGAAATGTGGGACTACACAAAGACTAACATGATTAAAATTCTCAAAACTAGCTTTAACTATATTTGTGTTTTTCATTTGAAAATATTATCAAATTTTTCTTCTGTAAAATTCAAAAAACTATTAAAAACTGAGAATTAATACACATAAGACCACAACTGAATTTTATTTATAAGGGGAAAGTGGCTTATTTTGTAGTAGTATAAATTAAAATACTAATTTAATTTTGTATAAAATATTAGCATAGTAAGAATTTATAGTATGAACATGCTTCATAAAGTGCTATTTACAAAGTGATTATGTGAATTTTTGGAAGACAATATAATTTAAACCACAATTTTGTACATACAGAAAACTGCCTCATCTTATTTAATTCTATATTAAGAAAAAATATAAACAATAAAAAATTAAAATGTGGAAAGAAGCAATTTTTGCATATGAATGAAAAGCATTATTCAAATCTGGATATATTTATGAAGGTTAAAAAAACCCAGGCATTTAAATTGGTTATAGTACTTGGGAAACATTTCAATTTTTTAACCTTAGTTTATTTACAACAATCTTTAAAATTTAGAACTTACACAGCTGAATGTCTATTAAGGTGTATCATAATCGGGTATAGAGTGTGAAGGGGCTACTTTAAACAGTAGAGAAAAAAACAAATGATATTTTGTCCACCAGGTGGTGCTAAAATGCAAAGCGACGGCAATCTGCAACACATAAATAAAACCATCTTCTGACTTTCTGAAGAAACAGGACTGGGAGGATACCATCTTTCGACTGTTATCTATCAATCACCATGTATACCAAAATTTCATTTAAGGTTAAGAATTTTGCCCCAGTGAACAGAAACATAACAAAGAACACACACTTCATGTAAATATGCAACATAACAACTAGTTTTCAGCATTTTTAACATTGTTAAGACAGAATACCAAATATGCAAAGTGAGAATGCATTTTCATTTACTACTTGAGACATGAGGTTTACTTCAAATTGCTTATCATATGTTCAGTCTCATAATAAAAATTTATCTCTATAATTTTAAAATTGTTTTGTGTTCTCTATACTGCAATTATAATCCCTTTTAACATCAAACCAAGCATAAGACTGTAAATGAAGAAATTTTTTTATTCAACTTTGTTAAAATAAAAATAAAGGAGCTTTAGACAGGTGGCTGCAGACATGCAGACTAATAACATTTAGGAAATTGCTTTATTGCACATGACATTACTTGTTCTCTGTGATATTTGGCTCCTAAATGTGGAATTTCTGCTGTGTGTATTAAGTCTTGTTCATACACTTCACAGGTAGAGGTCTGCAAAGCCAAGGAAACCATTTTGTAATTTCATATTTTGTTTTTTCATCAGCTTATAACAAGGCACTTGAATATGTAATAATTTTGAGAGGATCCATCTCTATACCTTAATTTATGTCAGGGCATGCACCTGTAATTGTCTCCTATTATTTGAAATCATACCTTCCTTTGGCAACTAACAGTGTTTTCATGATTGGCCAAGGAGTGAAAACAGTTTACAGAGCTTAGGTACCAATGAAGTGAATCCTTTGCCAGGTAAAGGGAAATAAGAAAATTCCTTTTCCAAGAATTTAATGCTTTGCCCTTTCTCACAGACCATTTTTCTTTTCTCTTCTCTATAGAACTTTAATGTGCTACATATACATAATATTTTATAATGAGTCTTAAAGCTCTATGAATTTCAAATACATAGTGTATTGGCATGATGAAAGCACAATCAGAACAGGGAAGAGATCATGTATTTTTAAGCTTTGTATCTCCAGAAACAACGCCTAGCATCTAATGGGCACCTACTAAAATGACTCTGGAGTTCTTTCCATTTTGGTTATCAAACTAACATTTTGGAAAATCAGAGAGCAGTTGACAACACTGGAATTTTGAGAATTCTCATTTCTGCCACATACTCTAAAGCCATTCATATCTTATCTTGGATGTGTAGAGAACTTGGATTTTGATTTTGGGTGGCAAGCTCTGTCTTGAGGAGAAACAAACAGCAAACACATTTTATAGGAATTCACAGATGGAATGACAAGAGAGAACATTTTCCCTTCCCTTTAAAGAGAAATTAAAGATTGATTACTTGTGCTCCCTAATTTGCAAATGATATCATGAAATGTCCCTTTCTTCACTTGTGATGACCGTAAAGTAAAAGTTGTTTATTCAAGTATTGGAAATTCATGAATGGTGTCTTTTAATGACAGCTCCAAATCCAAATCCAAATCCTCAGCCAGGAAAGAACTTTGAAGAGCAGGACGAACACAAAGAAATAAGATACCACACTAGACAGAGGGCAGTAGGTAAAAAGCCAACAATTACAGACATAAGGCCTAGGGCAGAATGAGTGGCAGTAAGTTGGATGGCATGTTAGAAGCCATAATCGTGCTTATTTTAGAATCAATTTTCAAGTTTGCTATAATAATCAACTTCTCTCTTCTTGTGAGAGTATACTGACTCCCAAGTTCATCTGACAGAAGGACTGAAGGCTTGCATCTGTGGGAGAGCTAACATCTCGCGCCCCCTAGGGATAAAGTCGCTACAAAGACCATGGTGATTTGGTGATAAATTACGTCCTAATTTCTAGTGATATCTTAATCTTTGAGATGAAGTGCCAGTGAGACCCAAAGTACCTGTCAACTCGAATGATTCTGTTTACATTTTTCATAGAAGAAACAGCTTTTTATCTTTGAATTGCCAAGTCTAAAAATTGAGTTTAGCTTACTAGAATTCCCTTGCAATTTTCTCCCTGTAATATTTGTTAGTTAAATTATTCATGGTTTTGTAGCCTAGAGATTATCGGGCACTACTGGACATAGAGAATGCCTGTGACATCCTTCCTGAAAGAGGCTAAATGTCAAGTGTAAACCAATGTGGGAATGTATAAGTGTGTTCTGTATGTGTTATGGCTGTGTGTATAAGCACAGGTCAAAAGAAACTTTAAATTGGACTAGAACCTTCTGTATTAAATGTGTTTATAAATTTAAGACATTTTATGACTTATTATTACTGTTGCTATTAAAATGTCTTAACATACAATACGATATAAAATGTGTCATACTTGAGAAGCAGTGTGTAATTATTTAGGCATTTTTAAATAAAAGGTTATTAACCAAAGGTAAAGAACAATAGAATTACAAAGGTTACATAGAAGTATTAATGGAAATTCAATGCGGTGAGCACAGGAAAAGAAAAATCTCTTAAAGAAGTAATTCTGATATATAGAATCTCAGGCAAGTGACGATAAAATATAAGCTAGTTACAGTAATATGTTTTGTATAGAAAATGATTTAAAAGAGGCACTGAAAACAGACTCTGGTAATGTTTTGAAGTTAGGTAAACATTTTATTTCTAATTGAAATAATAAAAATGTAATTTTGGCCATTTTGGTGACAAATGCTTTTTTCCATAAAACTAACTGCCAAATTCAGAGGAATCATTCTCTTTGCATTCCTGACATATAGACATTTGAATTGAGGTAGATTAAAATTCAGAATCTGCTACCACATTTCAAGCAGAAGAACATCAAATAATACAGAAAATAGAATGAGAATTAGACAGTCTATTTTCACATGCTGTAATTTAGCCTGGTTAATTATTATTTATTGAACCAATACATTAATAGCATCATCATCCGTAAAAGAAGTTTTGAGCTCTAGCTCTGCTAAGTGTCATAAAAGGGTTAACTGCAACTACAATGGACTCAGAACTTATAAGAACTAAATGCCGGTTTCACAAAAATTTTACAGAGACTTATTTGAACAAATGAACTGTCCCTGAGGAGGCAGATAGAAATGAGAAGTTTATCCTTAGAAATTACTTTCATATTTTTTTACTAATTTTGACAGACATGCTAATGCTCCTATTTGTTTCACTAATGAATTAGGATATGTACAACTCTAAAGAAAATGCAAATATTTTGTAACACTAGTTTATAGCGGTGTTTCTCAACCTGGTCACTATTGGACCAAATAAGTCTTTATCGTGAGAGTGCTTTGCTGTGTATATTACAGGATGTTTAGCAGTAGCCTTGCCTCTACCCATTAGATGACAGCACCACTCTTCCCCCAGTTATGACAGCCAAAAAGTCTCCAGGCATGACAAATACCCATTGGGAGGCAAAATTGCCCACCAAACCTTATGCAAATCAGAATCACTTGTTTAAACCTTCAGCCATTGGTTTCTCACATGTGATTAAACTGGGTTTCCAATAAAGGAATTTTTGGAAAAATAGAATCTTAGCATAGGACTAAATAATCACTGAACACAAGCTAAGGGATAGAAGCAGAATGATACATGATAGTATCTGGTTATTATCAAATTTGTTTGCCACACAGAAACATATTAAATCACAATGAGGGATTAATTCCTGACTTCAGGAAGTGGATTCCCAATCTTTTTACAAAAATGACAAAGACTGATAAAATATCATAGTTCTACTGATAGAGTGAAAAAGGTATTTTTTTCAAACCTGAGATTTTATGATTCAATCACATGGAGTTATCTTATCTCTCAGCTTCTCCCATACTTTATTGTATAAACAAGAGTTTAAGATTCTCATCAAGGTCATGAGGTATATAAAGTAAGTTCTCTGTGTGTGCATTTGTGCATGTGTGTGTGTGTGAGATACAAAGGGCTATAACTGCCAAGTAATTTGGAAGGGATGCTGAGTTAGAGAAGTTACCTGATGAAATCTAATGTCATTTTGTGAAATAGAAAGAAGGGCTTTTTCTCGTTTCTTTTTCTTTGTTAATTTTCCTTCAACAAATGGGGGTAGTTAGAGGCCAATTTGGGTCTGCTGCATCTGAAGTAGGGATATGTTTATTCAAAATTCATTTTCTGCATTGCCTTTCTCAAGTGTTATACATTATAATGTAGATATAATTGAGTGAGGCCTACAAATAAGATAAATAGTAATTATTCCTTCCTCCTCCCCCCACCACTTGCCACTGTGGAATAATCTTCAGAGGGAAAATGCCCATGTTACTAAATTATAAACTACTAGTAGTACCCAGGATTATGTTTTAAGATAGGTACTCTTTATTTTACTTCCAAGTTTGATATAATTTAATGCTCTAAATATTTATCTTTTTATTAAACAATAAGCCAATATAATAATCCATATTATGTCATAGAAAAGAATTACACAAACAATAAAGTTTTAAAAATACACTATCGATATTTACATTGCTGTGCAGAAAATTACCTTCTTAATTTACCTTAGCCTGATAGTTTGTTATTCTACAAGCATGAAATGATCTATGGGGCTGGATACGTCACAGTTTCTCCCAATTAGTTTAGGCTTTACCCCATCTCTACCTAATTTTATGGTTCCTTGGCCCCATCTACTCTGTTCAGATTCCTATGTTTCCTTTAAGGCCTATCTCAAAAATCATCGAATCATTCAATCATGCATCAAATATTTATTGGACACCTGCTACAGGGCAAGTTTTAGGTGTGCTTTGTGAAGAAAATGTATAAGTAAAATACAGAGGCCTTTTCCTTAAGAAACAAGATGAAATCAGTGTGAGGTTTTGGGTTGGTAAACCAAATGCTGTGGGACTGTATAGAAAGGAATCCCAGCAATGAGATTGAGGATATTGGTAAAAGCTTCTTGGAGGAAATTTCATTTGACCTCATCACTGAATTGAGGTTTCTATAGATGGGAAGATAGGAACTACCTCAATAGCACAGTGCATGAGAAGCACTGAGTGACGCTTGGTTTTCTCTCTTTGGGCAAACTCAATTTTTATTATAACAATTTCTACAGAGTAGATCTTTGATCTTCATAAGGAACATGTCCTAAGACTGGCAGTTTTCCCAAATTCATAAGCGCACATAAAATTTCTCTAATAAAATGCAATAAAATGTTAGATCTCTATTTTCTCTTTACTTTCAGCATCAACACTAGCATTTGGATTCCTTTTGGGGCCATTTTTAAATTATAAGCAAAAATCTTATTTAGAAATGATCAAAAAGCAACAGAATTGACTGAAGTTGTGAAACCTTATTTTTATTTTTTGAGTTGCCTCATGAATTTTAAATCAGAATATATGCAGATTCTACTGCACTCATTAGCATTTCTTAACTTGAGATCCAGGAATGAACTTTAAGGCATCTACTATACTATTCTTTGAAATTTTAGGGAATACAGCTACAGGGTAGTGAGAGGGGAGCACTGTGGTGATTTGAGATTAGTGTTCCCCCAAAATTGTCCCCTCTTAAAATTGTCCCCCCAAAAGCTATTTTTGCTTTAAAAACATTTTAATGGAATATAATATAGATGGAAAAAAGTACACAGATCTAGACTTACATTTGAAATGTCACTAAAAGCACTGGGCTTTAGGGTTTCCTTGGCAATGATCCTCACATTCTTTTTTCTGAGCAGGAGACTGAGATTCCACATACTTGTCCACAATGAAACCCCTGTGTTACCAAGTCATCATTCCTAAATGATGAGTATTTTTGGCCAGGCTATGGGGTCTATGCCAACATGCTAAGTAAGGCACAGGCCCTTAAGTGGTGATAAACTTAAATAAAAAACATTTAAAAATACTTCATGCTCTGTATGCGTGGGAAGGGGGTGCTTTGGGGGGGATAGGCAGAAAGAATACAATGAACCAAAAAAATCTAGATTTTGTGTGTAAAAAGAACAATCGCCTCTATTTTGTTTTAAAGTAGATTTTCATAGTAAGGAGGACTAAACAGGAGAAATGTTTAAGTATGTTTTTCTTTATACTATATATTTTGCTCAAAAACATGTATGTAATTAATAATTTGTGTTAACTGAAGTTCCGAAAGTTGACTATTTCCTACTATTATACTTCTAATTAGGATTTGAGGCTGAGTCCTTAAGGTGCTCATATAAGTAGAGTCCTTCACTCAGATAATTAGTCAATACAATAAAAATAACTAGCAAAGTATGATTTTCCTTCTGCTCCCCTCTCCCCTGATTCATTTTCTCAATTTAATTCTTGCTAAAGAACTAAATTTTCTTCAATTTAGTCTAGATTCTGATCCTGTTGACTTCATTTGGGAACTAGCTTAACTGGAGATGTAGAAACTTATATTTGAAATATTAGTTATATTAATTCAGGCTAAGTAATGCAAAGGACAGATGAATATATTTAGATTCTATTGCTCTGTACATTTTCTGAGCATGAAAATCTAAGTTTAACTATTTCAGAGTATCAGTTCTACTTAAATGGAGAAAAATTACACTTTCCTGTGCATTTTACCACATAAGTTGTATTGAAATTATGAATACAATTCACCTATTTTAGCAAGAAGAAGAGTGTACTGCATTCGTAAAAACATTTCAACAGAAAGGCAGGCATAATGCTTCCCAAAGGATCTTAATTGAATCATCTGAAGTAATGGAAAATTTGGAGTTTAGAATGAAGTCTGTCTTCAGAAAGAACTCACAGTTATTGTGACATTATTAAATTTGTTTTCTGCAAATAGTTTAATGTCATGACAACAAAAAGATCTCTTGATTTGAGAAAATCAAAGCTATCTTTGATAACACTACCAAACTCCAAAACCAAAAGTTTCTAATGCTTTAATATCCCTCAAAATGCTTTAGAAAAAATATATCACAAAGACTTTTAGCCAATAAGATCATCATTGTTTTCACAGAAAGCATCTGTTAATAATAGCTTACATGAACTGTATTGCTTTAGCTTTTAAAGTAATATTCAATAGTATTAGAATTACAGACTTAGAAAATGCTGTGTTATAATTGAGGTAGTGAATTACCAGGGATAAAAAAGTGGATTATTAGGGCTACTAAATGAGCAGAGTAGTAGATTTCTGCTTCTGAATTGGTTGAGTGATCTAGTCCGGTATGCTAGCTTCTGGTATATTCCACATTAAGTATCTAACCTCATACTGAAAAATGTTTATATCAGTTGAAATACCTTTTTGCTCTTTTCTTCACATGAATCACAATTAGCATTGCCTATGTCTCCTGAGGATATAGATTTGTACAATCAAACATGGTAAGTAGTAAAGGTTAAAAAGCTATTTAATAGATTTTTCCACATATTTGGTGCAGCTTGCTGGCTGATTTCCGAGACTTAGATTTGTGTAAATTCCATGCTTTTAATTGACAGCTCCCTGGAGGGGTTGCAATATAAGTTAAGGTCATAGGAAGAATATTACGGCTTTCTATGGCATTTTGTCCTTTCTTTAAGAACTGAAGTCAGCTTACTATAAGATCTAGTTTTCTAGCTTTGAGGAGAAAGGAGAGATGGAATGTTTGTCCAAGATAAATTTTTGAAGGAGACTAAAAGCACAGGAAAGAGGAAATTAAAAATAAAACAAATAGTCACATACACTTGGGAAATCAGTATAATCTGCTATCTGAAGATAAAATCATCTTTCTGCCTTAAGAGATGGTGTGTCACCTCAAGGACTGAGTGAGAATGGAGAGTCATGCTCATTGTAGCTTGCCCACAATGGTAGCCCAGTGGGGTAACTCTGGAATGCATGAACTTAGAGAGTCATACTGACATCTATTAATATTTTAACAATAACTTTTCATGTGTTCCATTTTTCCTGACAGTCATTCTTCTTAATTGAAGAGTGGGAGGAAAGATGGGAAAAAGAACAAGATAATTTAGGAAGGCAATGAGTAGAGATGAGAAATATAGGAAGCTGTATTGAAAGGTAGTTTTATCATTTCTAAGGGTATGAAATCTGCATCTGAAGGTGCCTCCCGTTTTGAAATTTTCCAGTACTCCCAAAGATTTTAACTCTTTGAAAACTTCATTTTATATCCCAGAGGCCAAATGTAGTTTTTTAATGTCTTATATTTATTCTGCAATTTAGGAAATGGTTAAATGCACCGCCCAGAAGAATTTTTGGAAGACTAGCTATCACAAACAAGGTGGTAAAACATAAACAAAAACACTGGATAAGGAAAACAAGTTCTTACAGCAGGTCAATGGCACCTGTAGACTGATTACACAGGAACTCGAACATGAGGACAGTGTTACTAAACCCTGACATGAACCCCTCTTCTGGGAATGTGCCTGCTCTCAGATGGTTTCCCACACTTGGTAATATTTGCATTCTGTCTCACTTGTCTCTGCTTCTCCTCTTCACATCCTTAGTAAAACATTATTAAATAAGTGGTTCATCACTTTTGTTTATTATTTAGGGAAAAAAGTCTCTGTGAAGTCTAGTGGACATGAAAATGTTCCTCATAGATCTCCAACTGCTGGGAACATAACTTACCCAACTGCCACATTCTGTCTATTACCAGATTTGTGCTAAGGTTACACTTTTACCAGCTGTTCCCAGCTAATAATTGAATGCAACAAGTATACTAAGACAGGCAAGTTTCTTGGTTACAAGAGACTCCTATGAGGGCTGATTATAGCTCACGGATACCCCGATTCCCTGATGAACCTTCCTTAGACTGCATGACAGTCTAGAACGCTTCCACCCAACCTTCATATCCTCTCCCTTTCACTTGGGACCATCTTTACTCTGCGGTATGCTTATTCTCCACACCGACCACCCCCATCTTCTTCCTCATTTTTTCTTGCATAGGTGTTTTTCCTAATACATTCTTTGTATGTTAAATCCATTTTGACATCTGCTTTTCAGAGGATCCTAACATCTGGAGGAAATTAGGCAGATCATAACCGTATTGACCCACTGACATTAGTAGACTATGAAATTCCAGAAAATAAAGATTTCAGTACTGATGTGATGAAAAAATCCCACCCCAATTTAGTAAGGGGTTAGTTAAATTAAAAATAAAAAATATACAAAAAATGAGTTTAACATTGATTAAAGACTTAAATGTAAGACAAACCTTAAAGCTTTTAGAAGAATGCATAGGGGAAAAGCTCTTTGACATTGGACTTGGCAATAATTTTTTTGGATAAGACACCAAAAGCACAGGCAACAAAATTAAAATACGCAGGTAAGACTATATTAAACTAAAAAGCTTCTACACAGCAGAGGAAACAACCAGCAAAATAAAAAGTCAGCCTATGAATAGGGAGAAAATATTTGCAAACCATATACCTGATAAAGGGTTGATATCCAAAATATGTAAGGAATTCATAAAACTTAGTAGTAAACAAAACAAAACCCACAGAGAAGCAGATAAAAAAAACAGGCACATGACCTGAATAGGCATTTTTCCAAAGAAGACATATAATTAGCCAATAGATATATGAAAAGGTACTCAACATCACTCATCATTAGGGAAATTAAATCAAAATCACAATGACATATCATCTCATGCCTGTTAAGATGGTTCTTATTGAAAAAACAAGAGATACCAAGTATTGATGAGGATGTAGAGAAAAGGAAATCCTTGTACGCTCTTGGTGGCAATGTAAATTGGTACAGCAATTATGAAAAACGGTGTGAAGGTTCCTCAAAAAGTTAAAATAGAACTACCAGATAATCCAGCAATCCCACTTCTGGGTATATGCCTAAAAGAAAGGAATCAATACTGAGATGCCTGTACTCCCCTGTTCACTGCAGCATTATTCACAATAGCCAAGATATGGACACAACCAAAGTGTCTATTTATGGATGAAAGGATAAATAAATTGTCTATATAGATACAAACACAATAAAATATTACTCAGCCTCAACAAAGGAGACCCTGCCATTTGTGACAACACAGAGGAACCTGGAGAACATTATGCTAATTGAAATAAGCCAAAGAAAGACAAATGCTACATAATCATACTTATATGTGGAATCTAGAAAAGGCAAATACACAGAAACAGAGAGTGGATGGTGATTACCAGGGGTGGGAAGATGTCAGAAGTGGGGAGATGTTGGTCAAAGGCTACAAAGTTACAACTGTATAGGACACAACTAGAAATGTAAAGTACAGCATGATGACTGTGGTTAATAATAGTGTACTGTATAGTAGAAATTTTCTAAGAGAGTGGATTTCAGGTACTCTCATCACACACAAAAAATGATAACTATGTGAGGAGAGTGATATGTTGATTTGCTTAACTGTAGTCATCATTTCACAAGGCATATGTATATCAAAACCTCATGTTGTATAGATTAAATATATACAATAAAAGATTAAATAGACCTAGAAATACATTAAAGCAATTGGTAATAATACTGAATGTTTTTATGGTGTTTTATAGTTTGCAACATTCTTTTATATACATTGTACATTTTTGCATTTGGGCTTCACAAAAGTCCTGTATGATAAGCAAAGAAACCTGTATGATGAACAAATATTATTATCCTTCATTTTACCAATAGGAAACTGTTCTCCCTGCAAAGTCAAGAGAATAAGCCAATATCACGAAGCCAGTATGTGATGGAGATAGAGCTCAAAATGAATTCTCAGCTCAAGTCCAATTCTCATCACTATTAGATATACAAAAAATGATTCCATGTCCTTATTTCATTTTATATTGTGGATAATTCAAGAATATTGTTTTGGAAAGTATTAAAATGCTTTTCATATTTAGACAAATATTTTAAAAAACATATAGGTTAGAAGGACTAGAAAGAAAATGAACTAACACATTTTATCACTTCTTTCTCAATGGGATGCTATGTAGCAATTTGGCACTTGCTCCCAGGAAATACAAGTCCTGTCCGTGGCAGCTGTTCTAATTTTCAAAATAAAATAGAAAATCATGAATATTCAAGAAGATAGGCATCTTTCAGATCAGGAACCAGAAGTCTAATGAGGCTTTTTAATGTAGGTGGGGCACTCAGGTTACAGGCAGAGGAGCCCTATATGCATTTCTAACACCAAAAACGGCAGGGGTAGCACAGTAGACCTCCAATAAAAACGTACTGAATGACTAAAATGGCAAGGTTGAGATTAAAGTCTTTCTAACTTAAAGACCTGTGTCTTTCCTCTCTGTCAAAAACACTTTTCACAATTAACGACTTTTCAAATGAGTTGCAAGTTTATGTCCACACAAAAACCTGAACAAGAATGTTTATACAAGCTTTACTTATAACTTCTAAAACTTGGACAAGATGTCCTTCAACAGATGAATGAAAAAATTGTGGTAATCCAGACAATGAAATATTATTTAGCAATAAAAAGAAATGAGCCAGCAAGCCATGAAAAAAACACGAAGGGACCTGAAATGCATACTGCGAAGTAAAAGAAGCCAGTCTGAAAAGGCTAAATACTGTATGATTCCAACTATATGCCATTCTGGAAAAGGCAAAACTATGGAGATAGTAAAGAGACCAGTGGTTGCCAGGGTCTCAAGGGAGGGAGGAAAGAATGAATAGACGGAGAACAGGACATTTTTAGGGCAGTGAAATTATTCTGATATGATAATGAATAAACATTATTAAGTGTTTGTCGAAACCCATAAAATGTACAACACAACAGGAAAATCTAATGTAAGCTAGGGACTATAGTCAATAATAATGTATCAACATCGGCTCACCAATTGCAACAAATGTACCACACTAATGCAAAGATGTTAATAATAGGGGAAACTAGGGGCAAGGGGGTGGGGAGGCAGGGAATTGCGGGCCTATATAGGAGCTCTTTACTTTCCACTCAAATTTTTCCATAAACTAAGAACAGATAAAAATAGTCTATTAATTAAAAACAAGTGATACACACAATTTCTTCAGCCTATGCAATATATTCTACATTTAGACAGTCTCATCTAAATTCCACTGGTATAGGGAGAGGGAAGGACACAAACATCTTCAAGGGCAAAGCTTTGGCATCCATTAGCAGAGGTGATTCCAGTCTAGGCAGCTGAATCCCCAGGCAGATTTCAGCAGGTGCTGACTTTCCAACAGCACCAAAACCTCTGATGAACAAGAGTGTCTTGAGTAGAGGCTTAGCAATTGCTGTTTTATGATTATGTTTTTCACATATTCCCAATCCCACTGAGGTGCTAATACATTTGGTTCATCTTTCCATTTTAAAAGAGACAATGGCTTTGATAATTTGTTCATGGTTACTGCTTAGGGAGATAATGACACTCAAAATTCCCCTAACTGAATATTATAATATTACGTCTTTGGCTCTGCTATTTTTAACAGCTTTTAAAGACAATAGTGTCATTTGGGTTTAAAAAAAAGTTCACTGTTCCTACTCATTAAAGGAATACTAGGTTATAAAGACGAGCTGTAAGAGTCCTAGCAGGGCTTCAGATTATATCATGTATTTAGTTTATGAATCTCATTTTGTTATGAATCTATAACTGAAACAACTCCCAATGCTTCCCCCAGGAAGTAATTAATTGGAAACCAAACAAACAAACCACATGGAAAAGACTGAAATACTTTGTATTACTGTCTGAAAATCCAATGGTAATTTTCAAGTTCATTCCCACCTGAGTCCTACAAAAATATGCTATAAGTGTGTGTTCTTCAGCTACAATTCTACCTCTCTGTGTATTTACAACAGCTAATAAGAACACCACCCCTAGAATCAATTTAAAACATTTTCTTTATGTTTTGTGAATTGCAGGAAGCCTCAACATGCAAATATAACTATTAGTACATGTTTAATTAACAGGCATATATTACATACTTCTTAGGTAAAGAGTATCATTTTAGAGAGTTTGTTATGTAGAAATCCATAAATTTGTGTTTCTAATTTTAAAAACAGGGAGCTGTTCAACAAAGAAAATTTCCAATACAAAATCTTATTTAACAGTCACCAAGGTAAACACATAAGATCAATAAAAATCGCTGATCATACTTCAACACAATTATACTTCAGAAAGATAAAGTTATGGAAATTTTCTATTTGTTCTAAAGCCTTTGTAGCTATGAGAATATTTATAATGATTTCTGTGGGAAAGCCAATAAAATCTTTTGAAAATGAAAAAAATTAAATATATCTGAAGAATAGTGTAGGTTATATCTTTATCTAATATTGTTGATATAATCCAAAGACTGTAAAAGATATATGCTAAACATCTGATTAGAATTTAATAAGTTATTTATTACTGATCTGTGCCAAACAGTCTTCAATATTTTTTCTAAGAATGTTTTTCTGTGAAAATATTTTTATTTTTAAAAATAAAATTTCCTTAATCTAAAAGGCTCTGATTCGTATTAATTCAGATAAATTGGACATAAAGCTATTGATTGGCTAAAATGTCCAGATACTATACTCCTGCTGGGCATATGATATGATTTGGATTTGTGTTCCTGCACAAATCTCATGTCTAATTATAATCCCCAATGCTGGAAGAGGGGCCTGGTAGGAGGTGACTGGATTATGGGCGTGGATTTCCCCCTTGTTGTTCTCAAGATAGTGCCTTCTCATAAGAGCTGGTGGTTTAAAAGCCTGTGGCAGCTTCCTCATCACTCTCTTCCTCCTTCTCTGGCCATGTAAGATGTCCCTGGTTCCTCTTCACCTTCCGCCACGATTGCAAGTTTCCTGAGGCCTCCTCAGCTGTGTTCCCTGTACAGCTGGTGGAACTGAGTCAATTAAACCTCTTTTCTTTATAAATTACTCAGTCTCGGGTAGTTCTTTATAGCAATGAGAGGACGGTCTAATACAACATATACATATAAATAAGCTACCTCTTCCAAGGAGATAAAAATCTAGAAGACAGAAATGAAACATAATTAGCAGCAGAGTGTAGCAATTAAGGCATTGTTTCTGGCCTCAGACCTGGTAAGGATGAATCCAGCTCTGCTACTAATAAGCTAGGTGACTTCTAGTGAGTTACTTAGCCAATATGCACTAATGTTTCCCAGCTGTAAAATTGAGGACAATGATAGTGATATGGAAGGGAAGTGCTGGGTAGGGAAGAGCGTGGTCCCTTTAAATGATACAGAAGGGGGAAGGGAAGAGCTGGGTAGAGGGGGACGTGGTCCCTGGCTAGGGCTCCACCCCCAGGCCTGTGTCCCCACACCTAGGTGAAGACAGGCATTTTTGTTTTCCTGCCCAAATGTTGCATTTCCCAAGACCACCCTGGCCTGCCATGCCCCCATCCTGGGCCTACAAAAACCCTGAGACCCTAGCAGGCAGAGACACACAGGTGGTCGTCTGGAGGAGCAGCACATCGGCGGGGGGAAGGTGGGGGGAACAAACGAGCAGCTGGACGTCAAGAGGTATGTATTGACAGGCACCAGCAGGCCGGCAGGCCGTGGGCTTGCAGAAACAGACGCGGAGTTGGCGGGGGCAGCTGAAGGAGAGGCTAGGCCGCTGAGTGGCCAGACTCCAGGAGAAAACCTTCCCACTTCATCCTCCTTCTGGCTTCCCCCATCTGCTGAGAGCTACCTCCACTAAATAAAAGCTTGCACTCATTCTCCAAGCCCATACGTGATCTGATTCTTCCGGTACACCAAGGCAAGAACCCGAGATACAGAAAGCCCTCTGTCCTTGTGACAACGTAGAAGGTCTAATTAAGCTGGTTAACACAAGCCGCCTATAGACGGCGAAACTAAAAGAGCACAAGACACTGCGATAGGGTCGGAGCTCCATAACCTGCCCCATAACCTGCCCGTCTGTGTGCTCCCTAGAGGTTTGAGCAGTGGGGCACTGAAGAAGCGAGCCACTACCCCTGTCGCATGCCCTGTGAGGGGGACAAGGGAACTTTCCCCCTTTTAATAGTATCATGCTCATAGTGTTATCATGAATATACTAAATTAATAAGTATAAGTTGCTTTAAAAAAGTGCTTTTCATACAACGAGTGCTGAAAGTTATTATGTCTCTTTGGCTTTTATTTATTGGAATAATGGAGATTATATGCCAAATGTTGCAGGAGCAGAGGAGGGATTGATGAATAGGCTGGAGAAGGCTTTGCCTGGAATGGACATTTATACTGAATCATCACAGATAAGAATTTCTTCAAGTGGAAAGAAGGATGAAGGAAACTCCTTGCAAGAGAAAGGCTGGAGCAAGGGTATAATCATGTTCAGCCAGTGTGGCTGAGGTTTAGGGGCTGTAGGAGGTGATGGAAGGAAAGGCACCTGGGAAAGAAGCAATGGGGTGATACTTTGAAAGCCTTAAATAATAGCTTAAACAATTTGGACTTTATTCTGTAAAGAATGTGGAGTCAACAAAAGGATTTTTGGTTCATTTTAAGGATGGCAGTGAAGTGGTCAGATTTTTGCTATTGAAAATTATGGCAGCAGTATGAAGGCAAACTAGCTGGAGAAGGGACTCGGGGAAGGTAATCGTGTTAAAGTGTTTAGGTTATGTACTCATAGTGAAATAGGGCAGTGGGAATGAAAAAGAGGCACAGTGAAAAGGAGACAGGAGACATTTCTAAAGTAGAATCGATATGAGCCTCAGTCAGTTTGCTGCATTTTTCAACTACAAAGTTCACATTTCCCAACATAACTAAGTACACAGCTCACATGAAAAACAGCTAATACCAAGTCTCTGTAGAAGCATATCATACACTATGTGTGAAATCACACACTCACTAGGCAAATAGGAAAGCTGTCTTTTTGTGTTAGCTCTTTGGAAAAGCTTGAGACTAAATAAGTAGAAGAGTCCAAAGCAAATATTAACTCTGGTGGTGTTAGGTGCTTGGATTTCTAAACGCAAATTGTTAATGCAAAATGCATTTTGGCTTTAACACACGCGAGCCCTTTTTGCCACACACTATAAACTACAGAAAGAGAAAAACCCAAAGCTGGAACTTAAACTCTCCTAAAGAAATACTGTTGTTTGTTTTCTTAAGCTTTGTGCTTACCAATTTGAGATTGGAAAAAGTAAATGCAAAAATAAAATGTTAATAACAAGTTCTGTAATACTGTGCTTTTTAATCAGTACTAATTTTTCTTTTTAAGAGAAGTTTCTGAATTTATTTGGGAATCCAGAAGTCTTTCTGAAAACACTGATGAGTAGATCAAGGACCTCATGTAAAGCTCTGATACAAAGTACAAAGCCAATTCTAGGTGATAGTGTGACCAAAGATAGTTGCCAAAGACTATGGCTGTTAATTTTGGTTACTAGTGAATTTCAGTTTTGACTTGACATACAATGCTTTCCCTGCACAGGGAGGCAGTGGAAAATATCATTTATATGTCTTTCAAATACCTCTTTCAAAAGTTATTGGTAACTGAGAGATAGCAGTCTCTGATGTTCCTGTCTTTCTTTCCCAGCTGTACAAAAGGGTAATTGAGCAAACTGTGCCCTGCTCTGCTGGGAAGTCAATCCATCCGTCTAACCTGCAGCTGCCTGGCTGATGGCCTTTCTCCTATTCACCATTCATTTGCTTTTCTGTACTCTCCTCAAATGCCCCGGCTCTGGGAAATGATTTCCAAAAGCATGGCCTCAAGCCCTGAAGAACATGGACTCTGATAACCACCCAGGTCTTCATTCTTACAATGCTGTCTGCCACTAATGTTAGGTAGTAGATGATAAGAATTTTTTAAAAAAAATTCTACATAAAATATCTGTTTTATAACTCATACTTGAAAGAACACTAGTGTAAAGAGACTAGAGAAAACAAGTTTCTTGTTTCATCTTAACCTCATTGTGACCTTGCTTTCTTGGGCTTCAGTTTATTTATGCATAATATGATATAAGACAAGGCTTAAATATTCTAGGATTCAGATTCTCCAATATGAGAAAAAGCATACAGTTAATTTTCAGTTGGAATTTCTAGCCCTATTACTTTTATGCCTGGACTGGCAAAAAGATAGTATGTCAGATTTCTTATTTTCATCTTATAATTTAATTTGCTGTTGGAGTTTTCAATGAATATTTTAGTAACTTGACATTGAACAAACTTTGATTTTGGTTTCTAACTCTATATCAATTGATAAGTGTTTTCAACTGTAACTTGAGTTTGCTTTAGATTGGTTGCCACTATCACTTAAGAATTATTAAACATTTTTATTGCATTGCCTCAGCATGTAATATGTTTTAAGTATTGGCAGGCACTATGCTTTATATCTTTCCAATACTACTCTCATAATAAGCTTGTGAGCTTAGAAGCCATGCTGCATGCAGGAAATTCTGATTCAGGCATAGTACTGTTTCATTTAAATAGGGAACAAAATGAATTAATATTATTCATCTTAATTACTACCATTATGGATAAGAAAAATAAACTACATTTCAAAATTAAAGTAATATTTTATGTATTCAAGATCACTCAGATATTATTTTCTAGGTATTTGAAATCTAGATTCTTATACCTTATAGATTTTTATTTTTAAATTATTTTAGATGGAGAATATTTGGAACATCTGGAGCATCTTGCATACTCTTCTGATGTCAAATAAAATTACATGTCAAAATACCATTATATAGTGCTTAAGATTTCACTTTCCAGTTACACTATCTGTTAAACCAAATATTATTCAGAATGTAAATAAACATCTCCTTGATAACTGTTATTTCTATAAGCACATACTATGCTATAATTCAGTGAGACTTTCAGGAATTACTGAACTGTTTCAACCGACTTGCCAATATACTAAACAGCCCCACCCCAAACAGTATTTTGAAATTCCTGTGCTTTGTTTACAATGATTTATCTTTTCTCTCACTATTCCTGTCAGTTGTCAGTCACTCTCGCTAATGATAACAGCCCGCATTTGTGCAGCACCTCAGAGCCTTCGAAGCACTCGCCCATTTATTGCTCCCTTCTGTGATTGTCTCATAGTCCCTTTCCAGTTTGCCACTAACATGCCAGGCCTTTGAAAACAACATAATCAAACTTTAAAAGAGATTCAATGTAAAGAGTAAACAGTCTCTGTGAGAGGGGCCCAAGGAGTTTCCTTGTGAATAAAGTTTGGTTCATGGACATCAGCATTTATTTTGACTGCTCAAAACCTGGGTGTTTCCTGCAGAGCTGGGCTCTGAATGGTTGAGGTTGGCAGATAAGAAGACTCCAGCTGTAGGAAATATTTCTGTTATTGCCCTTTTATAAGGAAATGTTTAGTGATTCCAAGATGTACATTTGAAATGATAAGTGACCTTAGAGATAATTTATTGCAGTCACTCATCCTGTAACTAAAGAAGCTAAGGACCAGAGAATTTAAAGTGTTGAAGATAGAACCAAGTTAAGGAAATGACTCTTGTGACTCTTAATCCAATATTGTTTTTATGAACACCACATCATGTATTTGTTCTAAATAGTCTTGGTATTTTAAAGATACTGAATTTTTGTAAGTTTGGCATGGTGATATGAAATGGAGATAATATATTTCAAGTGCATTACTATAACATGCAATGGAGTATGTAATAGAAAATTAACTTTCGTATATTAAATTTTAAATATTGTATCAGCATTTTCTCCATAGTTGCTGAAGTTGGAAAGGAAATATTTTAAAAGAGAGATCTTTTAATGTCATCTAAACACCCACCACAAACAGAGCTTGCATCGTAAAAATACAGAATCCTAAGAAAAAAAGAAAGAAAAGGGAAAAAAGAAGAGATGGTGAGTGAAAGAAGCTAGGAAGGAGATGAGAAAAGAGGAAGGAAGAAGAAGGCAGGCAGGCTTACAGGAAAAGTTCATCATTCTTTGTCGTATTAATATGAAGAAAGTATGGTAATTTTTTGTGAGTTTTTGTATTGTGAAATAATGTGGAAACTGGTGGTAAATCAAGTGTAACACTTAAGAAATAATTTGGGAGACATTAACTGATATGAGCTCTAAACAAAACCTCCAGTGAGGATCCTGTGTAGTCTGTGAACAAAGCCAATCTACTGCACACTGACCTTCTACAAAGAGGCTCTGAAAACAAAGTGGTTGTTAGGTGAGGTAAATTGAAATAAGAAAAGATAGCAGATATTACATTAAAGGCTCCCGTATTTATTAAGGGTACGGCAATTCTAAAATCTAATTGTGAAATGCAGTTCTCCCTGAGGATTCCTACAGCTAATTGGAACAGGTGAGAGAGAATGTAGAAGAAAGAGGTAGCCATATTTGTACTTAGATAGTTTTGGGTAAGCTGTCTGTTCTGTCTAGAAATCACATCAGCTTTCCAGCAGAGTACCATGAGAAAATGCTTTTGGTTCTGTTTGCCATCCCTGCTAATGTTTACCCTACTTAATCATTTGCATTTAAACTTGATAGACCAATTACATCAAACAGCTACCTCTCCGCCCCAGCAGATTTTAATCAACAAACAGAAATTAATTTGTATGTAGAAAGACAGACATGAACTGATTTATAGAATACAGTTTTAAGGCAAAAAATATTTCTTTTCTTTAGCAAGATAAGATTAAAGGACTCTTCTGTACATGACTGGAAATGAAAGCCATGTTAAAGTTACATGATATTTTTGGCCTGGAATTTAGAAAGAATTAGTAAAACAAACTTTATTACTAGGCCTATTTTCCAAACTGGTAATATTATAGTATGAAAGAGTCACATAATTTCTTCCTTTTTTGCTACAATTTAACATTCTAGTTTGATCTTTTGCTTTAAATGGTAATTCACTTAAGTTTTGGTCTCCTCTCACCTAAAGTCACTTGCTCTTAAGGAATATAAAACATATGTATATTTAAAATTATTTTCTAGTTCTTAGATATTAAAGATATAGGGTTGCCACTCCACAGGGCTTTGAAAAATTCTACTTTGCTTGGGTTTTTACAGTGATTAAAGTATTATTTCTCTTTAGTAGGTACATTTTAATCACTGAACTTAGAAGATATCTAGTGATATTGTACTATTGTAATTTGTTGTCATTCATTTGCCTAAAGAAAGGTGAGATAAGTTATATCCTTTGTATTGCTGAAAAAATACATCATTTTGAACATATATCAATACAATAAGCAAAACTCTGAAATACATTAATATTTATATAACTTCTTCAAGAATTTTCTCACACTGTTTTAGCAGTTCGTGATGGAACTAAATCTATTAGAAAAAATACTAAAGGCATTGTACAATATCTCATATTGCATTCTTGTATCCCATAAGACAATGGGAATTTAGCAAGGAGTCAGGATCATCTTAATTGTTAAACTAAAGTTTTCATTTGAATTTCTGTTTTATTAATGGATCACCATGTGCCCCTGAAGGTTTTTATATTGGAATGTTTTACTAGATTCCTTAACAGCCATTTGCCTCTCTTGGATAGTGGAGCTCCAAGCACAAAACTTTGAAGTGTTATAAAAAGCAGAACACTCCTGGAATCTTTACAAATGGAACAAGACTAATACCTTATGCCTACATGATATCAAGGCAGGTAAAATTATATTATACTAATAAAGAGAAAGATGATTAAAACACACACACACACACACACATTTGGCAGGCTAACAGACAAAACATGGTGGTGTCAAGGATACCAAACTCAAGACAAATGTCATTATTCTTCTCTATGTAGTGTTGAGACCTGGGTCCTGAATTTCTTAGCACATTATTCACACATTTACTTTTTAGAAAACTTCCCACTTATGCTGACATTTTACATTGTGTTTTGTGTGACCAGAAACTACAGAATACAGAAGCAGAATACTATAAAGAGTGGAGGAAAAAACCCAGCAATTTGAAACTCAAACGTCCTGGTTTTGAACCCTGACACCAGACTTCCTAGCCATATGACTTTGAATATATTTAACCACTACACCTCCCTACTTCACAAACTGTAAAGCAGGGACAATCACACTTATCTTTCAGCATTAAGTCGATAATGAATGTACGATATCAGTAACCTGGAACATGGTGGGTGCTTCACAAAGGATAGTCCAATTTCCCCCCTTTTTTTTTTTTTTTGAGGCAGAGTCTCGCTCTGTCGCCCAGGCTTGAGTGCAGTGGTGTGATCTTGGCTCACTGCAAGCTCCGCCTCCCAGGTTCACACCATTATCCTGCCTCAGCCTCCCGAGTAGCTGGGACTACAGGTGCCTGCCACCACGCCCGGCTAATTTTTTGTATTTTTAGTAGAGACATGGTTTCACCGTGTTAGCCAGGATGGTCTCGATCTCCCGACCTCGTGATCCGCCCGCCTCGGCCTCCCAAAGTGCTAGGATTACAGGCGTGAGCGACCTCACCCAGGCCCCCAATTTCCCCTTTCAAACAGTAAGAGCCAAAAAGTTTTGATGGGCAACATATGGGTTCAGTGACTATATCTTCTAAATGCAAACTTGGGATATAATCTTCCACGTATGAATGCACTTACCATGACAGCAGGACAAAATATTTGAAACTATGAATGTCACCACAAAACCATGATGGGCGTTTATTATGCCATGAGGAATGTAGACATCAGGAGACTATCCAAGCTCATTTATTTTTAAAGAAATTTGATTTGCTAACAACCCATGCTGTTTCACTTAAAAAAAATAATAAGCAAGGCTAACTAGTGCACAATACACATCCAGTAAGGCATTTTCTCTGAAGAAATTACATGCATTATATAATTCATGTTATTGTGAATTGTAGTGTTGGCCAATTAGGAAATTTATACAAATATGAAGGCAAAAGAACTTAAAGTTCCTTATCATCATAAATGGCTGGGGAAGTCTTCTCTTTCTTCTCTATTTCCTCATCCTATATAGTATTTAAAGAAAAATTATTTCTTGTCTTCAGTATATTCTGTGACCTTTTAAAAATCCTATTTTCCTAGTAAAATGATTCATAGCTTTTTAAAGAAACTAAGAAGAAAACATTCTTACGGTTTTGGGGGTTTAGGTGAGAATACACTTTATATGAATTCTTTTCCTTAAGGGTACCATAAACTTTCTATTCTGCATTGATTAGATTCAAAAATAGAGTAAAGACGTTTTTTCTTTACCTGCTAAGAATAGTTAGAATGAGGTAATAGGGTGAAAGAAGAGATGGAAACGTCCATTTAATTCTTTCCATATTTGAGGACTAATTTTATTACACTTCTTCATTGCTCTTTTTCGTCTCTTTTCTGTACGTTCCACCACACACACACACACGCATGCACACACACACACACACACACACACACACCTCAATTGGACTATCAGAATATCTAACTGCACCAATGCACCAAGCAGAATGAGAAGTAATTTCTTCAGGATGGAACTCTTCTATTAATAAAAAATCACCTCACAATTTACTTTAAGATAATCTTATCTACCTCAGTCACTCTGTTCTGTTAATGTGCCTAACACCAAGAATGTCAAAAGACCTTGCAGAGAACCAGTGAATGAGAGGGGGCATGCTGAGTGACTTCTGGGGTGACTGGTACGACAAGTCCAGCAAAAGCGAAGACAATGAGGGAGATACAAAATAGGCATTTCCTCTTCAGTGACTGAGGAGGACAGAACGCTTTTGTAACAGCCTGTTTAGTGTTAGCATTCAAAGTATTAACTTTCCTTCCTCTTTCCCTCCATCCTTATCCCATTTTTCTCTTTTTCTTTGCACACTACAAAATAAGAAGCAAAGCTCTCTGTAACTTCTTGTAACAGAGTTGACTTTTCTGGGGAAATGACTGTTAGTCCTTTCTGAATGGCTTTAAGACCACAATATAAAATATTATTATATAACAAAGATATATTAAGCATTTGGGTTCTATATAAACTAAAAGATTTGGCTATAAAATTATTCGCCTAATTTGAAAATGTAAGATATATTCCTCTATGTGAATATAAGTATTTAATTATAGGAAACTACAATGTATTGGGGAACTTGCGTATTGTTATGCTCTGCAATGTTTCACATATGAAAAAGGCCTTTTCGGCTCATATTTATTTTCTCATACGTCCCTTAAGTTTTCTGATAGCAGAAAAAAGTGAGTATTTTAAAAATCCACATACTTCCGAAAACAGCTAAACTGAAGCTATCAGCATTTTTGCTAAGCACTTGAAACTTATAGTGAATGGAACTATTTGGGCTTTGAGAACAGCCAATTGTTGAAAGTTAAGAAAAAACAAGAGAGGGAAAGCAGAACTAGTTTAGTTTTCTTTTGGAAAACATCCATGTGCATTATTTAACTGAGACCTATTCTACAATACTGTGATTTTTAATTCCCTTAACTTTTCTTTTACTTTTTAGGTAGAACCATCAACCTGTTCTTCTTTAATCATTAATTTGCAGCCATAGGTAGTAAATGGCACTTTGATCTTGTTTGCTAATTTTAGACATAAACGGATTCTGAGTGCGTGCTGTGTAAAATGTATTATTCCACCGTGCTTTGCATACTTTAAGTACAACCTCAGGTTCTTCATATAAAAATAAGTTCTTATTTATGTTGCTGTTATCTATTTTAAAACTTGTTGTCTCACTATTTCATTGCCTGAGTTTAAATATGTCATTTTTTTGAACCAGGGCTCTATCTTTCACAGATTCTCTTTCTGTCTATACCCATCTTCATGTTTTGTTTTGTTTTTTTTTTGTCCCTTTGTGGAACAAAACAAATTTCACCCTGTTCATTCTTCTAGTGCTCATCACACTAAAAGGTCCTGCTGGTACTGCAGTTTTTATCAAAAAGTTTCCTACTTATAGAGAATCTGAGATATCAGCAGCCCCCAAGTGGTTTCAAGGGCTTTCAGCACCAAAGAGGAAAACAAGGAGCTAAATTACTTTCTGGATGCTCCAGATTTCTGATGTGGAATGTGGTATCATATGCAGTGCCAAAGAGTCCACATAGCTTTCACAAGCTCGTCACCACAGATGACACAGATTAAGTGGTGTTATTTTGGTAAGGAGTTTATAAAATGTTCAAAGCTTCCGGGCAAAAAGATCTCTCTCAGTCTGTATGAGCAAAGAGAAAGTTAGGCTTTAGTGCACCAAGAGGACAGGAGGTGTCTGGGAGTTGCGATAAGAATAAGATTAAGATAAATGGGGGCATCATAAGAGTAAAGAGAAAACAGTGGTCCAGGTGCAGTGGTTCATGCCTATAATCCCAGCACTTTGGAAAGCTGAGGCAGAAAGATCACTTGAGGCCAGGAATTCAAGACCAGCCTAGGCAACATGGCAAGATTCCATCTCTACAAAAAAACGAAAAGATTAGCCAGGTGTGGTGGTGGGTGCCTGTGTTCCCAGTTAGTCAGGACGCTGAGGTGGGGGGATCACTTGAGCCCAGGAGTTCAAAGCTGTCGTAGGCTATGATCGTGACGTTACATTCCAGCCTGGGCAACAGAACAAGACCCATTCCCTAGAAAAAAAAGAAGGAAGGAAGGAAGGAAAGAAGGGAGGGAGGGAAGGAGGGAAAGAGAGAAACAAAATGAGAGAGAAAGAAGGAAAGAAAGCAAGAAAGAATTGTTGTCTGACAAAATCAGCAGGATGTCTTTCTTAAGAGGGAGCAACTTTGTTTTCCTTCTTAGGTGAATGAGTTCCTGCTTAGGCCGAAAAAAGAGAAGAAAGGAAGAAAGGGAAAAGAAGAAGGAAGGAAGGAAGGAAGGAAGGAAAGAAGGAAGGCAGGCCCTTTATAAAACAAAAGATTCATTGTTATATTCTACAATATAACAGGTTAGTGATGTCACATTTTATTTTTCCCTTATAAAATACCAGGAAATACCTCTGATTAAAAGAAGGTTGAAAACTGATGACTTTATACTGAACATATTGGATTAAAGAAAAATAGAAAATTGATGACTTTAGAAAGAAAAGGAGGACTAATTTTACACAAAGTATATAATAGCTTTTTCCCCCCCATTGGGCCCATATGTCTCACAGAGATTTCCTCATTGACCCTTCTTTTCAGCATGCAGTTAGTAAAGAAAAATTAGTTTCATTCTACGGTAGAGGAAATGAAAACAAGAACTCTTAAATTGTTTTGAGATATACGTTTTCTAATAATTTTAAGGACATCATCTTTATCCAACCAAAGCAGTCCTGGGGTCGTATGCTGGCTTTACTATTTACAAGTGATGAGCTTGAAAAGCTACTTAAAATATCCTAAACCTTAATAATAATGGGGATAATAATGGCCCTTATTTCTTAGAGTTGTTGTGAGGCCAAAAATAAGCTAATATAAAGTACTTAGCAGAGAGCCTGGTACATCAGAAATTTTCATTGCTGTTGTAACAAATTACCACAAACACAGTGGTTTACACAATACAAATTTATTGTCATATAGTTCCTGGAGATCAGAAGTCTGACATAGGGCTCACTGGGCTAAAATCAAGGTGTCAGCAGATTGTTACTTTCTGGAGACTCTATGGGAGAATCCAATTTCTTACCTTTTCCATTTTCCAGAAGCTGCATGTGTTCCTTGTCCTGCTTTCTGCCTTTTTTTTTCAAAACCAGCCACACTGTATCTACGTCTTCCTCACTGCGGCCAGGAAGTGGCTCTGTTTTAAGGCCTCATGTAATTAGGTTGAGCCCGACTGGATAATCCATGATAATCTCCTCATCTCAATGCCCTTAACCTTAATCACATCATAAAGTCATTTTGCCATGTAAATTAACATATTTCAGGTTCTGGGGAACAGAATCTGGACATCTTTGGGGAGATCATTATTCTGCTTACCAGAGCCTGGCACATCAGAATGTGCTTAATAAATGTGATTATTATTATTATCACCATCATTACTATTTTATTGACATAAGCATGGTCATACCCCTATAGATTCTTATAACTTAGTTATTATTTAGGGACCGAGCCTCTGAAAATTTCTTTGATGAGAACTGAGAGACCAAATTATGTGAAATGATTTGCAAAAGGCTATCCAAGCAGTTAATTCTGATTTTGTATAATTCATAGCTTCTGATACAACACAGTGCTTTCCTCATACTACAGTGCTGAGAACAGAACTATAAAATGTACACCTAATATTTACATATAAGTTGAAATTTAATTTGTATCAAACCTAAAAAATATCTAAAGTACTTAATTTGCAGAACTGAGAAAATGAAAAAAATCAAAACAATAATTTTTCTACTTTACATATAAATGCTCTTAAAAATTCATTAGGTAGAATGCTTATAATGGCTAAACTATATTAAAGTCAAGTTGGAATTAAGTTTTGAAAAAGTGAAATTTAGAGGACAAATGTCATATTTCTATGTTTCTTTTTCTTTTCTTTCCCCTTTTTTGTTTCTACAGTTCTGAATGAATGTACATGTTCAGTAGGAAAAATTAATACCCCAAAAATAGAACAACATTTTTCATTTCTAATTTATGATAGCATTACATTGCTAATGTATTATTACATTTTTGTCTTCGAGGAGTTTCCATATTAGTTCAAATGAGCTACCCACCAAAATTATTTGACATATGTTGGGTTATAGTCTATCCATATACCCTGCTAGATGGAAATAAGCACAGACTAATGATATCTTGCAAATAAAATTTAAATAGTCAGAGAAATCACTCCTAATCATTACATTTTTTGGCAATTATGCATTCTGTCTTTTTACTTTGGCACCCCATGGGAAGAGGTTTCTTCATTAACAAAGGAATTGGTAGTATCTGACCAAAAATCTGTTCAGAAATTAATTTAGCTATTTGAAATTTACATAGGTGATATTTCTGGTTTAGATGTGATATGGTTTCACTGTATCCCCAACCAGTTCTCATCTTGAATTGTAGTTACCATAATCTCCATGTGTTATGGGAGGGACCCGGTGGGAAGTAATTGAATCATGGGGGCGGTTACCTCCATACTGCTGTTCTTGTGATAGTGAGTGAGTTCTCATGAGGTCCGATGCTTTTATAAGGAGCTTCCCCCTTTTCTCAGCTCTTATTCTTCTCGCTGCCACCATGTGAAGAAGGACATGTTTGCTTCCCCTTCTGCCATGATTGTAAGTTCCCTGAGGCCTCCCCAGCCATACTGAACTGTGAGTCCATTAAACCTCTTTCCTTTATAAATTATCCAGTCTTGGGTATGTCTTCATAGAAGAGTGAAAATGGACTAATACAGAAAATTGGTACCGGGTAGTGGGGCGCTGCTGTAAAGATGCCGAAACATGTGAAAGTGACTTTGGAACTGGATAACAGGCAGAAGCTGGAACCATTTGGGGGGTTCAGAAGAAGACAGGAAGATGTGGGAAAGTTTGGAACTTACTAGAGACTTGTTGAATAGCTTTGACCAAAATGATGATAGTGATATGGACAATGAAGTCCAGGCCTAGTGGTCTCAAATAGAGATGAGGAACTTGTTGGGAACTGGAGCTAAGGTGACTCTTGTTATGCTTTAGCAAAGAGACTGGTGGCATTTTGCCCCTGCCCTAGAGATCTGTGGAAATTTGAACTTGAGAGAGATGATTTAGGTTATCTGGCAGGAGAAATTTCTAACCAGCAAAGTGTTCAAGAGGTGACTTGGGTGTTGTGAAAAGCATTGTTTTATGTATTCACAAAGATATGATTTGGAAATGGAACTTATGTTTAAAACAGAAGCAAAGCATAAAAGTTTGAAAAATTTGCAGCCTGATGATGCGATAGAAAAGGAAAACCCATTTTCTGAGGAGAAATTCATGCCAGCTGTAGAAATTTGCCTAAGTAATGAAGAGCCAAATGTTAATTGCCAGGACAATGGGAAAAATGTCTCCATGGCATGTCAGAGACCTTCGCGTCAGCCAATCTCATCATAGGCCCAGAGACCTAGGAGGAAAAAATGGTTTCATGGGTTGGTCCCAGGGTCTTGCTGTTTTGTGCAGCCTTTGGACTTGGTGTCCTGAATCTCATCCACTCCAGCCATGGCTGAAGGGAGCCAAGGTACAGCTCAGGCTGTGGCTTTAGAGGGTGCAAGGTGCAAGCCTTGGAAGCTTACATGTGGTGTTCAGCCTGCAGGTGCACAGAAGTCAAGACGTGAGGTTTGGGAACCTCTGCCTAGATTTCAGAGGATATATGGAAATGCCTGGATGTCCAGGCAGAAGTTCACTGCAAGGGTGGGGCCTTCATGGAGAACCTCTGCGAGGGCAGTGCAGAAGGGAAATGTGGAGTTGGAACTCCACACAGAGTTCCCATTGGGGCACTGTGAGAAGAGGGCCACCATCTTGCAGCCCTCAGAATTGTAGATCCATCCACAGCTTGCACTGTGTGCCGAGAAAAGCTGCTCAATGCCAGCCCATGAAAGCAGTTAGGAGGGGGCCATACCCTGCAAAGCCACAGGGGAAGGGTTGCCCAAGGTTATGGGAACCTACCTTTTGGATCAGCATGACCTAGATGTGAGACATGGAGTCAAAGGAGATAATTTTGGAGCTTTAAGATTTGACTACCTTGCTGGAGTTTGTACTTGCATGGGGCAAGAGAATGTTCAGAAACCATATCCTAAATCCTAATCTATAACATGCTTTCTTCCCAACTATGCCTCCCAAACAGCACACAAACAACACACATGCACAGACACACACACATACATACACAGTGCTTCAAATGTGAACAGAAAATATACAAAAAATAAAGACTCATAGAACACAAGTGTGTACTTAAGAAAGAAAGAACAATACTTTTACTTCTATTTTCAAAAGTACTACAGGCTAAGAGGATTCGGCGGTACAAAGGAAATCTGAACAGATATCTTTATTTATACACCAGTTTCTTTCCTTAACGGTTAAAGCTATTTTATTCAGCACAGTCACTTGACGTCACTCTTCTAGTACAAGGCATCAACTGAATGCTTGTGAAAGGGTAGGAATGGAAGACACTTCAAACAGTTGGTATTTAGAAAATGTGAGATAATAAAAACTTGTCTGCAATGCCTCAATAAGGAAGACACTTGCAACCTAGAAACTCTCAACAAAGAAAAACTTCTGCAAGAGAGGCCACTTGCAGCCTAAGACATAATACATTTTTTTAGCCTCACTTCTCCAAACTTCTTAGTTACTTTGCTAGGTAAACAAAATATCTTAAAATGTACATTGGAATCAGATCTGAATGGTAGGAACTAACAGCAGCAGCACTAATTCTACTTTCTAAAGTGTTAGTGGCATGACTGGAATGTGAAAAATAACACAGGTGAAAATCAGTAAATGGTGATAGAGATGAACAGGTTCAAGTAATATGTAACAAAGAATATCCAGATCAATTTTATATTTTTAACAGGAATATATTTTTTTCTCTATGTCAGGATAGTGTTCAGAGAATGTAGCTTCCATTTAGTACAATAAAATATATTGAATTATGCCTAAAGGCAGCATAAAAATGTGTATTTACACTGGTACCTCTGCTATGTATTTTTCCCTGGATGATATAATGTCCTGGATGAAAAAGATTTCAAAATACCTAAAATATACCCATTTAATTATATAATTATATTAACAAAACATGCTTTGACATTTTAGATGACAATTTTTCTAAAAGGCATTGAATGCTCCACTGATTTATCCATCAAACTTGATAATATGTTGAATATAATCTATCCTATTTTTGATGATATGTGATCATAACTATTGTCCTGTATTTAAGAGAATGAATCAGCTCATACAAAACTAGTTCTGGATAACTATCATTGTCAACATGGCCAAAAGTCTGACTTTTGACTGAACAATTATGGTATACATAAATTTGCTTTTTTCACTGTAAGCCATTGGAATATAATATATACTTGGATATGAAAGCAAAGTGGTACTTATTGATATAAAATTGGAGCTTGTTAGAAATAAAAATCTCGGCACCGCACCCTCTAAGACCTACTGAATCCGAATTTTGATAATATTTGCACATGATTTGTATCCACATTAAATTTGAGATGCATTGATTTTGAGCAGAACACTCTCCAACAGAAAACTCTTCAGGGATGAACTTCCATTACTACCATCTGTGAAATCAGGGTTTTATGTTCTTGGATCTCAACTTTTCCCTTTAATACTCTTCAGTCCACCTTCATGGATGCCTTTGTTGTATAACATACTCTTAACCAAAATTTTATCTTTGTGATAAACTCTCATGCTTTAAACAAGTTTGTAACAGATAAATGGATCCATTATTCAACTTGGTTTAGTATCATGAATCATAAGTTCCTAAATCCTTAAGGAACATTATAAATCATCCAGGTTCAATCTAATCTTGCATTTTGCAGAAGAGAATACGGGAGTCCAACAAGGTGAATCGACCCGTTTACCACATCAATCAAGCATTAACATCCTGTACTCTATCTTAATCACAGGTCTACATATTCATTCATTCCCTCCTTCCTTCCCTCCTTCCTCCCCTCCCTCCTTCTCCCTCCCTTCCCTTCTTTCCTTCCCTTCTTTCCTTTCCTTCCCCTTCCCTTCCCCTTCCCTTCCCCTTCCTTCCATCCTTTCTTCCTTCCTTCCTACCTTCCTTCCTGTCTCTCTTTTACTTTGTTTTCTGTTGAAATTCATGAATTCACTCTTTTCCCACACATTAGTGTAAAAGCTGTTTAATAGATTTATTCTTCTTTAGATTCCTCTAAAATGTCTTTATCCAAATTTGTAGTAATGTTCCCATTTATTTGTACCTCACAGTTCCACCTTTGCTACTGTACCTGTATCTAAATTAAAGCTTTATTAGTTTTTAATGGAGCTCTCCTGGTCTCCATTTCTGCCTGGATTGGCCTTTATATTCAGGCTGGTGGCATCCTGTTCAAGCTCTTTGACCACTGATGGCTGTCTTAGTCTGTTTGTTAGGCTGGGTAATTTATAAAGAAAAGAGGTTTATTTGGCTCACAGTTCTGCAGGCTGTATAAGAAACATGGACCCAGCATCTGCATCTGGTGAGGGCCTCAAGCTGCTTCCATTCACAGCAGAAAGGGAAGGGGAGCCAGTGTGTGCAGAGATCACATGGTGAGACAGGAAAACAAGGGTTGGGAAAAGTGCCAGGCTCTTTTAAACAAGCAGTTCTCCCAGGACCTAACAAAAGTAAAAAGTCACTCACAGCCCCCAATCCCCAGAGAGGGTATTAATCTATTGATGAAAAATCTACCCCCATGACCCAAACACCTCCCATGGGGTCCCACTTCCGACATTGGAGATCATATTTCAAAATGAGATTTGGAGGACTGAAAAATCCAAACTGTAACAGTAGCTCAATCTAGGAACTCTCATGCAAGCCCCTTGGTCATTGTTGGCTCAATCTGGGAACTCTTCTTAAACCAGCAACCTAGCCTTTCTCTAGTAAATAATTAGCTCTCCTGAGCTGGTTTTGTTTTCTCGCTGAAAGTCTTTGTAGTCTCACTTCTGGGGTTAGAACAAAAAACTCAGTTTTACCTTCTACCCTCTCTGACCCTATACTTACTCTTAAGAGGTACTAATGTTAGCCATGACAAAGTCATAATTGCTAGGAGAATATAATTTCTGGTGAAAGAAAAAGAACTTGATAACTCTTCTGTTTCTAGTCCTCCTATTTTGACATCTCCTACAACTCTTAGATTACTTGTCCATTTTCATTTTTTTTCTCTATTCCTCCAGTGTAGCTGATAGAACCTGGGGGCAGAAACACTTCATTTTCTTCTTATAAACCTGTGACATAAGCTAGGGAGAAGGAAACATGGAGTTGGCTCCACAAATTTGATTTTAGTCTTGGCCTTATGTTAGATGTACACTCCATCTATTAGATGGAAGTTCTGTGCAGCTAGCCAAGGGCAGGAATCACAGAAAGATTTAAGAGTAGACTATAATTGGTAATAAAATTATTAATTTACCTGGAATCTCCCTTGGGCATAACTCTCTATAAGGATCTGGGAGATGGATGTAGATGGGAGAATAGAATGGGACGGATCCTTGTTATCCAAAATGACAACAGACCCCAGAATTTTTTTCATGGTTAGTTTTTTTAAAAAATAGTTACTCCAACTCAAAAATTTCCAACTCTTGCATCTTAACTGGTTTCACCAAATAAAAACTTGTCTTTTTATAGAGCTTGTAGATAAATCTCTTGCCAAACTAGGCAAAACTCCTCTTCCTTCACTAGTAACCCATTTTGAATCTTAGCCTAGCAAAGCGTCTAAATAAATAAATAAATAAATAAATGTCTTATGCTCTGTGCAGAGAGATAGCCGAAGAATAATTCACTGCTGAAAATAATCATTTAAATGCAAGTATTTATTTTCAAAACATAATTCATCCATTTAAAGTTGGACCTTATGCTAACCAATTTGAAAACTACTGTTGAAAGATAAATGGAAACTATTTCTTGAATCAAGTTTTCCATCTATATTTTTATGAATATATTTGGATTGGTTAACTATAAGAAGCTGACTTTCCTATATGTCCCCTATCTAATGAATTAATTTAACTGTCTGTATATGTATTCTGTTCTGTGGTAAATTACATAGTAAAAAACCAGTGTAATTATAATGGATGCATGCTTGCTAAAATTTATAAGTTGAAAATGTCAAATGATATAAAACACATTCTCTTCTTTTTAAAAACAAAAGCTAATTCCTTCTAATATGGACTGTATTGTACAATTTGTTCTCCTCCTTTAAGAAAAATTACTGAGTTACAGTTAAGTACAATATAAAGATAAAATTTAAGTTCGTTGAATGCCCATTTGGAAGGTAGAAAATATATCAAGCCTTATAAACTGGTACAATAGTCTTATTCAGAGAGCAGCAATTTATGTGAAAATTCAGTAAGTGCTACAACACCTCAAATAGCTGAGTACAGTAGGCATCCATTATGTATGAAAGCATTTTTAAAACATCAAGCTGCACTTTAGAAGTATCTTTCACTATATTAGGCTCTTCATTCAATAATTTGGACGGGTGTCTCTCCCAGTAGGACTATCACTAATGACACTGCCCAGTGGGATGCCATTTTATGAAGCATGGAAGGATCAATGCTTTCATCTGAAAACATTAAATTTAAAAAGGTTCAAGGTTACTATAAATAGGCTAACCCTTTTAATGATTTAGTTAATAGTTACAGAAACAACTGTTTAATCCAAAAAGTTTCATACCAATAACTTTCTATGAAGAAATCTGATCTTGCTGTTATTTTGGCAGTTGGTAAACCACCAAGAGGAGCAAGTACTTGCTTAACTCTGATTGTAAGAACTATTCTTTTTGGTAAATTGATGTAATTTGTGTCCATTTCTACAGCAGAGTCAAATCTTAACTTTGCAGGCCATTATTTTCATTCATATAAATTTGTGCTTTTACTAAATTGACCTTACAAGCTGTTGAATTAACATATATCATTATTCAGTGATTAAATCAAATACTAGGCAGAAAAATATGAAACAGTCATTTTTGAGGTAAAAATGATCACTTACAGGCAATATCATATTGCTTAATCTAAAACCGAAGTATGTAAATATATAATTTCATTAACATAATGATTTTCATACAATAACACAGATGATAATAGTAATAAATATTTACTATGTGTATATTTATTAAATAAATGAATAAATGATAGTTGATCAAACGTTTCCACTTATTATTATAGACCTAATGCTTAAATTGAACATTTCTGGGTTAAAATGTACTGGTTAGATATATTTTTTTGCATTCTAGGAACCAAATTCATATTTTTTGGTTATGCAGTGGACTCTTTCTCTCTGTCACACACATGTGGATGTGCGCGCACACACACACACACACACACAATGTAGTTCTGTCTGGAATCTCAAAAATAAACTAGATTATCTACTAGCTTTCTTTCAGGACTATAATAAGATTTCTTCCAAATGTATATCAATGCTGTACTCAGAGAAAAACAAGGGCATTTTTTTGAGCAGGAGCAGTTTGTATGTGGGTGTTGATGCCAGCCATTTGGACAAAACATCCACAAGCATCTTTTCATGATGCATTAAGGATGCAAGATTTGGTATTACCAGACTATGCCTACTTTTATTTCTATTCCCTTATGTAAAGCATAGTGTAGTTTGTTTTCATAATTCGAGATTTGATAGATAAAAATTGAACAATGAATAAAAGGTTATTCTATTTTAATTTTTGAACAAATATTTATGGAACCTATCTGAATATTTTAGAATGTTTTCAAGATTTGTATTATTTCCTATCCCCCACCAAAAAAAAAGAATTCTTCCAGACTTTAATTTTGTCTATGGGCTCAGTGAAAAGTATTTGCTTTCCTAAGGTATGAGCATGTACTGGTTCACTAACTTCCCAGTTGTTTTTCTGGCTGAGAAGAGCTTTTCTTCTGGTGGCACATGTCCATGACAGCTGTTTATTCCACATGTTTCCATTGAAAGCATATTAACCTGAGCAAATGGGGATAATTATCACAGTGTAAAAATGCCTTTGGATGTTAATGATTCCTCTTCTGTCGTCTCCTTTGATTGGCCTGACCCTCGTATTACTATGTATTAATATCCTTAGATCTTCATGGTACCAAGGACATTCCAAAAGTCATCCACATTGACTTTGGCTCAGAAAGCTTGAGTTTTGGTAAATATTTTTCAATTAGGTGTGTAGAAATCAATCAATAGACTATTTCCTCCCATGACCATATGTATTAATATTGACTAGTAATAATTTGATTCACTGACCTTTCAGTCATCTGAAATTAAATTATTGAGATTTAAACATTTTTTTCTTTAAAATCCTGGGTATGGCAGCATGCCATTTAGATGTAGCTGGTGAAAGGGAATATCACAGATATCCGGATCATAGATATTCTTGATTTGATTTCCCAGTTTATATAAATAAATATATATATATAACTAAAATTATATATAAAAAGTATATGTAACAAAAGTAATTCATCCAGTAGAGCAAAAATGGTAGTAGTTACTTTGTAACTTTCCTAGTTGTACTATTTCAGTATTTCCTTACATGGCTGATTTTCTTATATATAATATGTATTTGACATACAATGGCTATATTTGTCTACTTTTGTTAGGAAATTGCTTCTGACCAAGAACGCTTTCCTTTATACCTCTAATACTGTATGTAATATATTAATGTTAGGCGACAGCTTTCTGATCATTTTATCAAATATCTTCATTTTTACAAATAAAGAAAAAACATGAGAAGGAGACAATAAAAGACTTGTCTAAGAACAGGTAAGTTGTTAAAAAGTACTTGTCACTTAATTGGGTTTTGTATAATCCCAGGCACGTTAAGCTCTGGTATTCTATACGTAGCAAACTATAAATCTGATAAAAATTGTTCATTATTAGGTGTAGTTCATCTCATCCCTTTTCACCCCAATGCAACTTCTGTTTACATGTGTTCTATAACACACATTCCTTGTTTGATCTCCATGGTATCTTGATCTCCTGCATGATCCTTCTCTTTCTCTGACTGCAGTTGTTTAGATTATACCAACCACATCCTTTTTTAGAGGGATCTTTTAAGGACTGCATATCCAGCTTTGGCAACACTCCTATGATCTAGCCCCACATTTGCAATTGCTCACAAATCTTTTTCACCTGGATGTTTCACAGACATTTTACAGGCACAAACAGAACTAATTGTTTTCTTATTTTTCTTACCCTATCTTCCATAAGCTTCTCCGTACATTTTCTTTAGGTCACTAATTTGACCATCTATACAAGCAACAAAATTGGGCACTTGGGAGTCACCCTGGGTTTCGCTACTACTCTCAGCCACCCACATCTAATCAATCACAAAGTTCTCCTAATATCTTTCTTTTACTGATATCTGGTATCTGTCCTCCCACCCTTTCCTCTCTTTACCACAGCTCACTTTAATGCCTAACACATAGTAGGCACTCTGCAAATATTTATTGATGAATAAATAGGACAGAAATGAGTAAACGATGACTAAGATATAGCTTCTCCCCTCATTTACTTTATTGTAATAAATGAAGAGAGACAAAGAAATAATACATGATGCCTGCTATCTTCCAGCAGTAGGCATATATGAGAGGTAAATTTCCCCAAGTTGGAAGTCAAAGAAATCTTTCTGAAAAATGAAAGCCTAGGCAAAATCTAAATTCATTTACTCATTTATAATCTAGTTGGTTTTCTACTAATCCCCTTAGATTGAGAATCAGGGGGGAAATTGGCTGGGGACAAAGGGAAATTTAGTTGTTTCTATGAAAACCAGTCTGGCTTCCCTTCTCCTCAGGTAGCCATGACTACTTACATGTTCTTGGGTATGATTTTTTTCTAAAGCACCTCAGATTGCTGTCTTGTAAAATTAGTGACTCACAGAGAAAGACGACTCCACAAATTCTGAAATTTGTGATTTCAATCACAAATCCTGAAACAATTAACTAGCAAATTACATTGCTTTTTAATATAACATTTATAGAACAACATAATTCTAATGGATGTTGTGTTTTAATATAAAGTATAGGCTGAATAAATACACTTTATCAAAAGCTATAGGATAAGCTTCAATCTTACCCTTCTTGTGTGGTGTGTTCCAGTTCTGGCCTGGTCTCAGACATGTGGTATCATTCAAAATGAACAGAATTGTCTGGTGGTTTTTATATAATTTATTTGTTCTGAAATGGACAAACTATACTAAAATAATGAGAGTAAAAATAATAATTCAAATTTTCCTAATATATTCTCTGGAAACAAAAAAAGCTCTTACTTGAGATTTTTGAAATTTTTCTTTTAAAATATGAATTAAGGGCCAGGAATGGTGGTTCACACCTGTTATCTCAGCAGTTGGAGTCCAAGTTATGCAGATCACATGAGGCCAAGAATGTGAGACCAGCCTGGGCAACATGGTGAAACACTATATCTACAAAAAATATCAAAATTAGCCAGCGTGATGGCACACACCTGTAGTCCCAGCTACTTGAGAGACTGAGGTAGGAGGATAGCTTGAACCCAGGAGACAGAGGTTGCAGTGACCAAAGATCGTGCCACTGCATTCTAGCGTGGGCGACAGAGTGAGACTGTCTCAAAAAACATAAAATAAAATAAAATACGAATTAATATTAGTGGAAAATGATCAGTTTTCAAATAATATTTCTTGGCTCTTTTGTTCATTTGTTTTCCATTAAACTTTCTTTTTAGGGTTAATTAGTCTACGGCTACGAAATCTGTTAAATAATACTTTTGTTGACTCTCAAATTACCTGATATAATTCAGTAAATAGTGAAAAAGCGAATAAATGTAATTCTCATTTTGAAATTAAACATATAAACTATTTATCTTTAATGAATTGGCCAAATAGCTCAAATAACACCTTTATGATTTTATAAGGAAAAAATTAGGAAATACCTAAGTAACAGATAAAGAAAAAACATAACTTTAAAAAAAATTAGACTTATTTCTTTTCCTCCAAAAAAGAAAACCTCTGATTCCTAACTCTGTCTTAATTCACATAATGTAATATGTGGAGAAATTCAACCAACAAAATCTCCTCGGTTTGGTTCCTTTTTGTAAGGATATCATTTAAAACTGTATTTATGGACTTGTTGTAGAATTAGTCTTCTTATAAAAGATAAGAAAAACTTACTGATTTAAAATGACATACCATCTTTAATCTTCATTTTACTTATTTTTAAGTCCTTCAATACCTAATGTTACATTTTTAACTTGGTGACCCATAATCAGCACTACATATGTTCTATGCTTCAAAACAGAAGTTTAAAAAATAAGCCATCAATTCCATCAGTGAAAAATGAAATTGCAGTTGTTTTCCAGTATAGGAAGACAAATAACATTAAGCTGTGAGTAATCAAAGTCTCCCCTGGTTCTGCTTGCAATCAGTGAGTAAGATTTAAAAGTTGATTATAGTCTATAGTTACGGACTCAGTTTTTGGTTTGGGAAAACAAAATATTTGTATGTGTCTTATATAGGAGCCAAATCTAGTGGCATTTGCTTTATTAGCCCCATTAAGCAATCTGACCCCACCAATTTTTTCCTTAACTTTCTGGGTAAAAGATACATTTCACTTTTCACCCTAAGGCTGCTGATGGTTCCTATTTTTGTAAACAGTGCTAGTAAAAAAACAAAACCAAACAAAAACCTTCTTATATCCCAAGGTTGTGCTACTTTTAGCCTCTCTGGGGGTCAACAGATAGGGCAATGAGAGGAGTTATGCACTGTCACAGCCGGAACAGAATCTCATCAATCAGACAACAGGATTTCACTCTCTGGTGCCTTCTTTCCACTAGAGTGGAAACAAAGGAAAGAATCCCCTAGAAAGCAATTCTGCTGAATTACTTTATAAGATCAGGAAAACAAACAATAGTACTTATATCTCTAGTAAGCATTTCCCAACATGGATAAATTGTTCTCAGAAAATACTTTTTATGTGAAATTTTACATAAATTTTACAGGGAGTTCAAAGTAATAGCAAATAACAGCTTAAAAAAACTAAAGTCTAGCTTTCTGCTATGGATGGGGAAGACATAAGTTCTCACCCCAAGATCTGTTTTGCTACATGTTAGCCTAGCATGTCCCTACAACAATTCCAGATGACTGCCATGGTGAAGCCATGCTTTGGAGGGACTTGCATCTGAGCACTATGATTTTCTGTTGAGTCAAAGGTGCAGAATTCTGTTTCATTCTCAAACCACCTCTTAGAAAATATTTCAGACTTCACAATATTAACACACCACACTCAGAAACATACACACCTGACACACAAACACTCCAGCAACAAGAGCTTTAAAAAACACCAGCTAGAGCAGCAATTTATTTATTTATTTATTTATTTATTTATTTATTTATTGAGACAACATCTTGCTCTGCTGCCCAGGCTCTGGAGTGCAATGGCGTGATCTCGGCTTACTGCACCCTCTGCCTCCTGGGGTCAAGCAATTCTCCTGCCTTAGCCTCCCGAGTAGCTGGGATTATAGGCACGTGCCACCACGCATGGCTAATTTTTGTATTTTTAGTACAGACTGGGTTTCACCATGTTGGCCAGGTTGGTCTCAAACTCCAGACCTCAGGTAATCCAAATAAATTTGAGGACAATGAATGAATAAACTTTTAAATTATTCTTATTTCAACTGTGTGTTTTTTGGGGGGCATCATTAATTTGTTTGTTAACAGATTATGCCAAAATGTGTATATTCAGATTGTTTGGATGGAAATTAAGGAATGTAAAGATGCTATAAATAAAGGCTAACCTATTTTGATTTGTGCTTTGTGTGTAGGGAGTGGTAGACTGGTCACAAATAAATTGAATTCCCATAGTATAACGTATGGTTCAAAGCTTTGCAGACATAAACAGTATGTGTAATTGGATTTTAAGGGACTGATAAACACCATGTAAGTTCATAGGGAATGGCTATTTAATTCAAAATCTCAACAGCTAATTTTCCAAAAAATCATGAAACTGACAAGCAGATGCGAATGAACTGGCAAGTTGCATGAAGGCATGCAGGCAGAATAAATAGTATATGATGGTCATTATAAAGAATGTTAACAAGCTAAAGCAGACTTCATATGCAATGTTTGTATACATATAATTTTTGTCAAGTGGTCTAAAAGCATGTCTGAAGCTCGTTGTCTCTCTTTCTAGAAAATAATGTGAAAAGCCAGAAATTCATATGTTCCATTTGCTTTCTGCTGTGCTCCAAGCATTTTCATGTCATTAAAATATTAGCAATTTAAATATTGTATTTTATGTATGATATTTTAGTAGTTATTTTGATGATATTTAGGAAGGTTTCTTAAACTCATCAACTAAAAAGTAAACTATCTCCATTCACCATGCTGACTTTTGTTAGTACCAGTTTTAGATAGTTATACTTTCTGACCTTATCCTGTAGTATATATTTGCCTCATTTTGGTAAGGTTTTTCTATTAATAACATGAATGACTAGAAGAGAAAATTACCATAAGTCATAAATATTGCATACACACAAACTACAAGAAATGTTTTCTAATTTTGTTTTTACCAAACATAATGAAAATTTTGAAGTCAGATAGAATATGAATTTTATTTAAAGAAAAGTTTCCTGTGATCTTACTGTGAAAATACTTATTATTTTAGATACACTTCTATCAAGCTCTATTATCTCGTTTCCTAAATCTGTTATAGACTAGACACAATACATTCTTTTTAAAAACCTGTAAATGTTCAGTGACTGGCTTGATGATACACCAATAAAATAGGAGGGTGATAAGTGGCACTAGGAAAGTTATACATGTTAATTCTAGAACTTAAAAACCAAACCAATCTGAGGTTATTTATTATAAGCTCAGAGAACTCTAAATCATCATTCATGCCTCCCGTAAAATATTTATTTCCAAAAAAATCACAATCTTGAGATTTCTTCTCCAAAACCTTTTCTTTTTATTATCTCTTTAAGTATTATAAATGTATACAAAGTGGCTAAAATATATTTGCAGAGTTTAGTTTTTACCTTTAGTAATGACTAGAAAAGCTCTTATTGTACTGATCCTCTCACAGATAACTATAACACATGAAAAAATTTAAGAAACAACTGCTCAAAAGCACTGAAATATAACCAGTGGAAGATTCTATTATAGGGTTGTCAATTCTTGGGAGAAGAGAATGGCACTGGTGAGTTTCTGTGTGTGTTTGCGTATGTGTATGGACTGCACTGGGAGTCATGGAGATAACTAAAATCACTGTTAAAAAATCTTGACTTTCTGACTTGAGAGGGGCTGCCTCAGCTACTAGAAATTTTGTAAGGGGGAATCCTGGAGAGGAGAGAACTATAGAGGCAATGCATAAAATTCTGTAAATAAACTCTCCCCAAATTTCTGTCTGAACCTCAAATCATATATGCATGAACAGACTCCAAGAAGCCTGTAGAAGATTAAAAGAACATAACAAAAATTTAAGCTGCTGCACAAGAACAGCAGCCTTGAATCTAACTTAATTGGCTGTTACAACAAATACACAAAATTCAACACTCTTGAGATGAATTTAACAGAATCCCAAGAAGTGGTAACATAACATTGAAAATGTCAAGGATACGATAAAAAATTACTAGATAGTAGAAGAAACAGAGAAATATGAGCAATTTTCAGGGGAAAAAATCAAGGGAGAATGATCCAAAGATGACACAGATGTTAGAATTAGCTCACACTATTTTAAAATATTTACCATGCTAGTCTCATGATATCAAGGGAAAAAATGGCTTATAATGAATTAATACAGAAGATATATTACTGAGAAATGGAAATTATAATAAAGGAAACAAATGGAAGTCTATGAGTAAAATTTAAAATATCTAATACTGTATATTTGAACTTAATAGCAGAATAAAATGACTGAAGAATCAGTAAACTTCAAGAGAGATAAAACATATTACATATAAAAAGTGGAAAAAACATTAAAAAAATCAGTGCTTCAGGAAGCTGAGCATTGATACCAAAAGTTGTAATATAAATGTCTTCAATGCAAGAATGAGAGTAGAGAGAGAATGAGGCAGAAGAAATAATGGCCAACATTTCCCCCAATGTGGTGAAAGACACAAATTTACAGGTTTAAGAAGTTCAGTAAATCCCAAGCAGTTTAAGTAGAACAAAGCCAAACTTAGGCACAGCATAGTCAAACTTCTAAAAAACAAAGACAGAAAATATTAAAATGGGCAAGAGAAAATTGACCTATTACATAGAAGAGAATAATCAGAAACAATTGAGGCAAGAAGACAATAAATCAACATCTTTAAAGCACTGAAAGAAAAATATCAATCCAGCTAGAATTATGTATTCAACAAAAAATATTTTACAGAATGAAAGCAAAATAAAGATATGTACAGATAGACCTATATTACTAGAAATGCTAAAGTTAGTTCTTCAAACTGAAGGGAATTAATACCAAATGAGCTCAAAACTTCTGAAAAAAATGAAGAGCATTAGAAAAGGTAAATATGTGGGTAAATATAAAAGGGAATTTTCCTTTTCAATTTTTCTAAAATACATATACATTTGTATTAGTTCATTTTCATGCTGCTGATAAAGACATACCTGAAACTGGAAAGAAAAAGAGGTTTAATTGGACTTAACAGTTCCACATGGCTGGGGAGGCCTCAGAATCATGGTGGGAGGCAAAAGGCACTTCTTACACGGTGGTGGCAAGAGGAAAAATGAGGAAGAAGCAAAAGCAGAAACCCCTGATAAACCCATCAGATCTTGTGAGACTTATTAACTATCACGAGGATAGCATGGTAAAGACTAGCCCCCATGATTCAATTACCTCCCCCTGACTCCCTCCCACAACACATGGAAATTCTGGGAGATACAACTGGAGTTGAGATTTGGGTGGGGACACAGCCAAACCATATCAACATTTGAAACATTTTAGACATGGTACTTAAAATGGGAAGAAATTGTATATGTCTTTGGAGACTAAACGAAAGAACAAAGGTGAACAAATGTTTTCTAGGTTTCTGGCTTGAGCAACCAAAGGTGGATATGCCACTTACTGAGATGGCATATTTTTGCTCAAATTGAGCTGCTACAGGATTTTTTTTTGTTGTTTGTTTTATTCATTGTATTTATTTTCGTACAGGGATAATCCTTAACTGGCAGTTGAATAAATATACTAACTGGAACCAGTAAAGTATACTAACTGGAACCAGTAAAGAGATGGCGAAGATGGAAAAGACAGAAGTCTGTGAAAGAAGATGGGGTACTTATTGGGATATAATAAATTTAGGCAAAAACTATGAGACATTCTGAGGAGAAATTTAGGTTTGGACATGAGTGAAGTGTTTTGATTTAGAGGTATATATTTGAGCATTATTAACACAGACATAACAATGGTAGTCATGGTTGTGAATGGAAACATTTAGAGGAAGAAGAGAGCTGGTACAGAAACATATGCCGGAGGCTCAAGGAATTCCAGCATTGGAAGTGTAGGTAGATGAGTGAGCAGCAAAGGAAACCCAGGATTAGGAAAGAAACCAGTATTGTGCCCTGTGTTGGATTACAGGAACAAGGTGTTTCAAAGAAGAAATCATCAATAGCTTGGAATGCACCAGAGAAGGCATGAAAATGAAAACTCAGAAATCCCATTGGATTAGAAATACAGGCCATTGTTGGTCTTAGGAGGAATCATTTTCGTGGAGGGCTGAAACTTGAAATAGAATTAGACCCTCAGGAGAAAGGTATGCATAGAAAATGAGGATGTGGGGACATAACAGCAGTTATAGATAGCTATTTACAAAAAGTTTGGGTGTAAAAGAGGAAGGAAGAAGAAGGTGATAGAAGAGTTGGGGAAGGTAAAGTTATGGAAATCTATTTTTTATCTTAAATGGGACATTTAAGAGCATGATGGGGGCCAGGATCCAGTTCAGAGGGAAAGGGTGTACACAAGCGTGTAAAGTTCCTGAGAAACTGGGAGAAGCTATGACAGATATGAGCTACCAGTTTTAAAAACTAGTCCAATAGTCAGAAACAACATTAAAAAAGTGTTTTTCCTTAAACTTATTCAAATAATCAAATGTTTTGCTGAGCATGAAATTTATAAAGTAGTTACATTTGATGCTAAAAAAATTTTACTACCAAATTATGTGTTCGTGATGAAGTCTTCTGTGTTTAAAACTTATGCGCCAATTAACAAAAAGTTACAGATATATTTTCTCTACTCAGTAAAGACCATTTTAAAGGGAAGTGATAACATAGCCAGCAAATTAGTTTCAAGCAAGTACACAACTGAAGCAGATGAACAGAATGCATATTGCAATTTACTGTTTTATTTTTCTAGATTTACCTGAGTGATTTCTCCTCAGAGCAACCAGAATATTTTTTAAATCTCATTTAAATTTTGCTAGCATATAAACTAAATTCATATGGAGGATATTATATAGAGTTATCTGTACCATTTTAAAATGCATTCATTGAGGAAACTATAAACTTAAAACCTTCTACATTAATAGACTATGCTTGACAGTTGAAATTCAAAATCCAGGCTTCAAAACAACCCCCTTAGCCTATTGACAATGTAAGCAAATATCTTCAAGGAGAAAAGCAGGTTAGAAAAAGCCTTGCCAGGTTTTCAGCCACTGCAGGGACTAAATGGGTGATGCTGGCTATATATTCGAACTGTATGATGAGATGAACCCACCAGCCACATCTCAACCACATAGTTGTTAGATAATTAAATTTTTTTTTGCTCAAATTGAGCTGCTACAGGATGATTTTTTTTGTTGTTTGTTTTATTCATTTTTTTTTTACACAGGGATAATCTTTAATTGGCAGTTGAATAAATATACTAACTGGAACCAGTAAAGCATTTTATATGTGACAAAAAAACAACAACTAGTAAGCCAATAGTAGTTTAAAGACAGTAATTCTTATAAATAAATTATAATAAGTAAACTATTAAACATTTAAATTTAAAATTATAGTATGTTCATTGTCAATGATCTCAACTTTCTTCATTTTCAAAGTAGTAGATGGATCTCACTTACTTTCATACGTAAAAAAAAGAGATTGCCCTTGAATGTAAAATGATAATAAAGCTTCTTTTCTTTCTCGCTCTCTCTCTCTCTCTTTTTTTTTCGCAAGAAAAGGCTTAAGCCTGAATATTTCCATTTGTCAGTAAAGGCAGAGCTTTTTTAGCAAATTAGACCAATAATGAATGAAGTTACATAAGGTTACGGTAAATCTCTTAAGTAGTAACCTCATGTTCTGGGACAATTTAATCAGACTGAACATCCTCTCATGCAACCAGAAAAAATATATTCTCATAAAATTTTTCATATAAAACCTCAATCTAGTCTAAGAATTACTTTATGGAAGAAGTCAGACCATATACACAAACACACAAAGTTGCTTCATGCATAACACAGAGAGGATTGACATGCACAGTGCATATCAACAGTTCTATTCAGTGCCTGATTACATCTTTAATTCAAAATTATGGGAGGGCAAGTAACAGAACAGCATCAAAATTCTTGTAACAAAGTCTACATAATCTATTTGATGTTGTTGGAAAAACAGCATATGCTTTGGGTAATTGCTAAAACCTCAAAGGATACTTTCCCAATTACTGAGAATGAAACCAAATGCTACAAAATTTAGCTACTACCTGTGGTAGTGATAGACCCACAGGCACTGATGGAACCACAGGTACATATTCATAATGATGGAGTTGGTAATTATGTAGTGGTTGACCCTTAAAAGCATGGCTCAACCTTGGCAGTAATCTTTTGAATAATTAGATGTGACAGACACAAGAAGGCAGCCACCTTAACTTTAAAAAAAAAAACAAAACAAAACTGTCTGGCTCTGCCTTATTATCAGCAGCTCACATTGTCTAGTGGCTTAATTGACCTAAATACCTTTCTAGGACTTCAGTGGGTTAGAGTGGTGTAGAAGATGGAATGTGCCATGAAATCCTGTGGATGGGAGCCCTATACACACACTCCTTAGTCATAATGTGCTTTGAGAGAAACTCTAAGCATATAACAAAGGAATTCACTAGAGCCAGACTGCAGGGTTTCTGAGCTGTGGTGTGTGTTAATCTGAGGTTTATGGTCATGCACATTGTATGAAACCTGTCATAATACTTGAGTAATTCTTATCCAGCTATGTTTACCAGTTTGTATTTAAGCCTAGGGTATGCAGATAGCTGGATTTATAGAGGTTTGGGTTTGCTAAGTAAGAAAAGTGGAAGATAAAAAGGACAAGAGAGTTATAGTTTGTAAGGATCTAACTATAATAAAAGACCATGGGATACAGGCTGGAGAAGGAGGAAGTAAGATCATGCTGGTAGAAGGGAGTTGGATGTTAAAAAGCAGGTATTTTCTTGTAACATCAAGACTTTTTGAAGTAAGGTAATTAAAGTAAGCTAGACATATATGTTGTTGTGGTCCAAAAATGGGCTGTTTGAACCCATGATTGAACTGCAAATTAAAACTCTTATTTGGTTAAACATGCTTGAACTCCACTTCTGGCTCTACTATATGAATATATATATATTTTTTACATTACAATATTTGGGTACACTTTATTTTTATATGGGTTAGCATTCTGCTATATTTCATTTCATTAGTTTTGAGAAACTAAAAACAATGGGAAATCAAGGGTAATCAGTAGGTGATTTGAGGGAAATTTCCAACCAACATGTGAGTCTTGCAGTATATATTTTTGTATTAAAAGAGAATAGTTATTAAAAAATTACTATGGGCCCACCTTATTAGCATTATTATCTTATATACACACAGCACCACTAATCATTTTTATACATTATTCCGTTGAATCATGCTAATTATATTTTGAGTTAAATATTTTTATCTTTGTCCTTATTTTGCAGATAAGAAAGTTGAGGAATCTTGAGAAGATCAGACAGTAGTTGGTGGCAATAAAATACCACTGTACTTGAGAATGTGTGTTCTAGCTCTCACTACTTGAAATATAACCTTTGGTAAATTACTCAGTGTTTTGATTTTCAGACATCTCAATCCGTACAAGAATGTTCCTTGCCTGGAACAAGAAAGTGCCTGAAAATGATCTTTTCATGTTTACAATCCTATTTGCTCCTCAGTTTCTAGACCCATAAAACAGGTATATTGTCACATTGTTTTTCTTTGTTCTAGACAGAATAAGAGGAAATGAGTTACATACACTTAAGTTGATACAACAATTAAGAGGGTGCTAGCTGCTGGTGTCCTGCTTCACAGCAGAAATGATAACCTTAGGATTATCAAGGCAACTTGTCTTCCTATTAATTCCAAAGGGGTATGTGATGTCATGTCAAGCCCTAAAAGACTTAAACTTTAGAATTTAAAGCTTTCCCAGTCTGTCTTCTTCCATAAAAGGAAGCAATTAGGGAAATGAATTCTTCTCAGGTATTAGTGATTTCTATGTATATTGCCTTTCCCAACCAGAAAAGTTCAAATAAAGAAATTAATTCATAAAGGAATGAGCATCAGTAGCACTGCCTAAAAAAACAAACAAACAAAGAAACAAACAAAAAAACTAGGCCTACATGAGGGTGATAATCTATTCAGCCACAAGAAAGAAGGAAATCCTGTCATTTGCAGCCACATGGATGAACCTGGAAGACACTGCGTTCAGTGAAATAAGCCAGGCACAGAAAAACAAATACTGCACAATGTCACTGATATGTAGAATCTAGAAAAGTTGATCTTACAGAAATAGACGGTAGAATGGTGGTTACCAGAGGCTGGGGTAGTCATTGGGAGAGAAGGTTGGGAAGATGCTGGTCAAAGAATACATACTTATAGTTAGGAGGAATGACTTCAAGAGATCTGTTGTACAGCATGGGGACTAGCGTTAATAATGACATACTGTATTCTTGAAAAATGCTAAGAGAGTGGATGTATAAGGGTTTGGGCCATAAAAATGATAACTATGTGAGGTAACACATTTGTTAATTAGCTAGATTTAACCATTTCACAATGCATATATACTTCAAAACATCATGTACATGATAAATACATATGATTTTATGTCAATTTAAAATAAATAAATTTGAAAAAAACCAAAAAGTCGTTTTTCATGATTAATCCAATAATATCATTAAAAAACACAAAATGAATTATTTTCTTATTACTTCGCAGCTGATCAGCTCCAGCACCAATTTTGTGAGCTATCTCACCATAACAGACGTCACCCCAGAACATAACTAATCTAAAATGAAGTCGTATTTACGTGGAAGCTCTCCACACCATCAAATTTGTCTTGCTAAACTTGACCCCTTTTACCTGGACCCATTTTCCATTTGTGCACTTTTTTGTGGGATAATAATCAGGATTTTTACAACCAAGAAGTTCTTAGAAAATGACATTTTTCCATCCCATAAATTTCCTTTTCCTATGTTTACTTTTTCTTTTTCTTTTAACAGTTTGACCAGACTGGATTTAAATTCCGGCTTCCAAAAAAGAACTATTTAGTTACTGAACAATAAAAAATTTTATTCCCCACACTTTCAACTTCGATCTGTTCCACACTATAAAATCTTCCAAGTGACATTCAAATTAAATGACGATAAACCAATAAGTTGACCTACATGTATAAGAATAAATGGCTTTCCTATTGTTTTCTTTCTCCTTTCCTCAGTCTCATTCCTTTTTGGCAGTTGAAGTTGAGTGTAAGGACAGGAAATTAGCATAAAAATAAATGTAACCTTTCACAGAGCAGCTTGGAGGTTTAAAAAAGTATACCCTAACAAATAGTGCAATGCTTTGGAAATGGGATGATCTGACTCATTAAATTTCCTCATGAATTTAAAGTAAACCAGGGAGGAAAACATTTTTAAAATTTCATTCCTTATTAAAAATCTTTTGAAAATGATTGAGAATCCCCTTCTTGGCTTATTAAGTATAATCTATGGAAGGGAATGAACATATTTGATGAGTTAAATTGTGCAACTCAGAATCATCATTATAAATATCAATTATTATTTTACACTTATAGGTTGTCTTAGGAGTTAGAACTGATTATTTCTAATCTTCAGAAAATGCCACAGAAGGTTCTCTTGTGAATAAATCCTGTTTATCGCTCTCTTTTTCTCTTTCTTTCAAATCTGAGTGTTACAAAATGCTGATGAATGATAGTTAATCCTACTTATAATAACTTTATACCAACTTTTTAGGTACAGACCATTTTCAGTTATTAAGAGGTCAATTATTTTAATTATAATTTAACCCCTAAACACTTGTTTCCTAACTTCTATGAACATGGTTTCTTATCCTATTAATTAAGCCATTGCTTGACACCAATATATTCAGTATTTACTGTGGCACAAAAGAATAATTTACCATATGTGTTTTTTTTTGAGTTATCAAGTAAATGCATAAACTCTTTCTCATCTTGGCCTTCATACTTGATTGCAGCCTTCTGAGACTTTAGGTAGCAATTGAAAAATGCATGCCTTTCAATTTAAGTAAAAATTGTAGACAGACGTTAAACCCATAATTACACCCATAATTTGCTGAATAGTTACCAGGTATCAACCATGCTAATATGTGTGTGTGTGTGTGTGTGTGTGTGTGTGTATGTATATAACATATCATACACACACATATATGTATATGTGTGTATATAAATGTGTGTGTATGGTATGGTATGTTACTATTATATATTATATTAATATAAAATATACCATACATACATGCATAATATTGTATTATTAATATTGATAATGCCCCTATGAGGTAAGAATGATTATTTCTGTGTTTATAGATTTGAAAACTGGGGCTCTGAGAGGTGAAGTAAGCCAGGGAATTTAAGTTCCAATATGAGATGATGATTGCACTGTCAGCTAGAACAGTAAGAAAAAGATTCCTTTACGACTACAATTGGGTCCTAAATGTTTGATAAACTGGGATAATATGAAATAAATTTGAGGGATATTAAAAGGACATATTCCAGAAGGTGATAACAGCAGTTAAAAAGTTTGGAGTGGAGTTCTGCTTTCAGAGTTCCAAATAGACCAACTTCCCTACAGATACAAATTCTAAGCTACAAATTGTGGAATAAATATGTATATATAGTACATTTTGTACAAACATTTAGTTATTTATTTGGTCCTCAGACAAAATCCTGTAAAAACAAGAAACTCACCCAAACTCACCTAGGGCCATTCATTTTCTAGGTTTTGACTTTTAATTTTTTTCTACTTTCTGTTTACTTTTGGTCTGTCTCCATTGCCTTCAATTTATATAAATAATGTTCATGGTGTCACTGGTTTAAAAGAAATAGAGTTTGGAACCACCATAGCACCTGGAAAGCGAGGAGAAGAAATACTGAAAAAGAGAGAATTGGAGGGAGAAGAAGGACAAGTGCTGTGTGTAAACTCTACCTAATATCTAGCAGAACTCTGAACTGTGCAGTACAGACTCTTAAAATACTAAGGCTAAAACATCTGAATAGAAATTTCAACTGCTGCCTACCGCAGTGGTCACAAAGTATTGAATTGATTGCCTTATTAAACAGACAAGTATCAACAACAAAAAACCCCGCAATACTTGTTGGGGGAATATAACAGAATCCAAAGTCTCTACAATAATTCACAATATCCAGTGTATGATACAGAATTGATACACATATGAAGAAGCAGGACAATGCTCACATATAATGACCAATCAAAAGAAACTGTAAACAGGTAATGACCAAAATGACCAGTTCAAAAGAACTGGTTCTTTTGAAACCCAAATGCTTGAATTATTATGCATGGATTTTAAAGCATCTAACTATGCTCAAACATAAGCATTCATGCTCAAGATTAATAAATAAATAGCACATGAAATCAGAAAAATAAAAATCAAATAAAGTTCTAGTGCAGAAAAATACAATACTTAACTAAAAGGTTGCAGGGGACTTACAGCATTTGTTCAAATAAACATGAATGCATATAGACACGCTACTTCACATTTTAAATACAAACACACCACAAAACTGAACTGAACTGGACATTATCTTTATGTACTCTTGGTCATTGCATATGGACCTGCGCAGCCTTGGTAGTAAGGAATTCTTTTTCAGAAAGGGAACAGAAATGGCAAAGTACATTATACCAGCAACCTTACATGTACTGCCAACCAGGGACATGAAACCACCATCTTCTTCATGACATATGTGTGAGCTGATTTTCCTGCAGTGCTGACAGGCTAACAAAATGATGCATATTCTATATTCTTTTATGACAAATTAATATTATTGAATGGATGCTAGTCAAGACTATAAATACAGTCTGATGATTAAAAGAAGAGTTTACTATTTATCACTTGGGAAGAATGTGGACCATCAAAGCCATGCCATCAGATCTCAGCCTTACTATTGAAGCAACCAATGAACCAATGATTGATTAACCAAACTTTTTACTAATTTATTTTTATTAAGTGGCAATTAACAAGGTGGCTTTATTACATATTGTATAATTATTTATCTTGGTTCGTAGTAGTGCCAGAGAAAGAGAACGGCAAAGCCAAGAGTTTGGTAACAGATTGTCTCATTATTTCTTGACTAATTTGCAGGTACATGTTTAGTCTGAATCAGACGCTCCCCTATTGCTACACTCAAAATTTGTTCTTCCACATTAGCACATGATATTATAATTATGATTTTATTGCCTTCATCCCACACCTTGCCTAAACTTCTTGAGAGTTGATATAAATTACCACTTCTTTTTCATGGGGCAAAAATCAACCACATTGAAGGGATTCCTCAAATCTGATTCCCATTTTCAGTTGTCAACAAAACTGAAATACTGAACATGAGAAATGAAAAATGAGGAAAGAAGTTTTATAAGTGCTTGAAGGCAGTAGTGGTAAAAATGTACAGTATTACATGAGCCACAGTGCTATTTTGCAAAATGAGATACCTCATTTTAATTGTTTTTAAGTGTAATTTTAACTATGTACACTGAAGATACAAAATAAGTTTCAGGGTTTGAAAATCATCAGAAATTAAAGTCAGTAAGAACCAACATGAAAATGTAGAAACCACACCCTAATCACTTCTGATAATTTTAAGGTATCTCCAAACCTCATTGAAGATCCTATAATATTTTTCTAATTAAGTACTCGTCCCAAAAGTTTAGGAGTCAAATAAACTAAGAATGTCATCTTCTAAGTAAGATTATAATATGAGAAGTTAACATCTCATTAGGAGTATTTAAAAAGGAGCGCCGTATAGTCAACATTTCCCTGTGTGCCTCTCACATTCTCCATGAGTGAGGCTCTTTAAGGCTAATAATGTTCAATACCAGCAATCCACGCAGAGACATTTCTAGGTTAAAGAAGATCAATCCATTAATCCTGTACTAGATAAAAATATCATCCTTTGTGTAATTCCATGTTCACGAAATAACTATTTAATTTGTAGGCTGACATTCTGAAGGAATCCACCCACAAGTGCACCAAACTCTTACTAGATAAACATTTCTGTTCTCAATAGAAATGATGAAAAAGAAACTAATATTTACTTAGCACATAGTATATTCCAGAGAGGTTTCTAGGCACTTTTCATACTAGCCTATGTAATTCTCACCAGAGTCCTGAATATGTATTATACTCATTTTAGAAATGGGAAAAATAAATTTAAAGAGATTAAATTACATCTCCAAAGTTACACAGCTATTAAATGGTAAAGTTGAGAATTAAACTCCATTCTACACAGTTGCAAAGTCCCTTCTCTTTCTCTTCTACCTGCAAATTGATAAAATGCCATTTTGCTCTATAAATCAGTTTCTGACAGCCTTACTTAATGTAAGTCATTTCTGCAGAGTCTGCTCACCCTGTGTGAGACTGATAAAATCAAAAGCCTAACTTGTTCAAGCTGTTGAAACTAGACACTGAGTCTCCTTGTGAAAAAAAAATCCAACATCCAGGCTTCTAGCATTAGAAGCTAAAAGTCGAATATCTGCTTGCTCATTTGAACTGGATATAGATAGAATCAATTCAGGTCATTTGTCACTAATTAATATGTGCTGAAACAATGTTCTAAACATTCAGGGTTTATAACCTTTTAATTCTGCATGTCTCAGGGATACCAGAGTACAGTCACCTCTTGATTAAGTTAGATGGACAAGTTAACCTTTGGGCCACATCCTGGCACATGAAAAAGAATGATTTTGATAACTAATGAAGCTTGGAAGAGAAGATTTAAAAAAAAATTCCAGAAAGAACAAATTGATATAAGAAAAGCACTTAAACACTTCTTGTACAAGGAACAGAATCTTCTGAACATATGCAGCTTTAATAAATCAGTAATCGTTAAATAAAAATGTGAAGATCGCACAATGTTAAAGAATGCTTTTGCCTGATCTCTTGTCCCTGATTGCTGAAATGGCTGCTATTTGCACTTAAGCATGTAGTGACACTGGCTTATTCATCCACGCTCTCTTGGAGAACATTCAAGATGCACAGAAAGACACTTACTAGGTGGAGCAAGCACTGAAAATTGGGGGAATCTAGACCCACAAGGACAGGAGCTCCTCCAAATTGTTGAGCAGTTAAGAAGACATAATCATGGAGCAGGGATAATAAGTCATCATGATCTTTGAGCTAGCACTTAAGGGCCAAGAAATAAATGGTACAATAAATTTTAAAAAATAGATATTTTTAAAATAGAAACTGTGTATAAGGACTGCTTTCAATAAAAGATGAATGCAAAATTAATGTTTTATGGAGTAGATGACAATTTAGAAACCAGCATCACTGTTAGTGATGTCATTGTAGAGCTGCTTCTAGGGCAACAACTGTCTTTTTCTTGCTGTATCATTCCTTGTGTTTAAAGTCAGAATCTATTTACCTCTGGCAATGCACAGCGGTCTAGACTTCTGGTCAGATTTAATCTGAAATATAGATACTTTTGTGAAGGATGAAAAACTGTAAAAATTTCAAATTTTTTGAAAGAAGATTTTATTAACAAATACATACTAATGTTTATCTACAATACCAGTAGGTGTAGAAACTTAAAAAAACCAGTAGGAGGAGAAGTAAAACATTTCCTAAACTTGCTGAGGATTATCAACCTTGATAGATTCAAGTAAACAAGTTAATTATTTAAAGCTGGAAAGAGAACTGAAGTATGAGCTAGAGAGGGCTACTTTCAGATTTTCTGCTAAAACTGGTAACAAACTAGTCCAATCAACATATAATCAGTGAGCAGAAATGTCTTATGCATAGTAAATGCCATTCCTTCAATCCTTACTATTATCTCTTTTTCTCTACATATTTTTACTAGGGCTCTAATTATCATTCCACAGCTGATCTTCTGCTGAACCCATCTTGCCCATGACTAACATTGACTAAATCATGTCTTCTGATTCTTCTGAACCTACTCCTTAACAGCTCAGAATTTTCTGAAAAAGGTCATGTAACAGTGTTGACTGACACCACTACGAATTTATGTTTGCACATCGTGTTACCTTCAATTCAGAAAAGATGTTTTTACTCTTTCAAAATCACATCGTTGCTACTCCTGCTTTTGAATCTTTTAGCTCTTTCTTGCCACAGATCTTTTTCCTTGAGCTCATGAACAATATACACAAGCCTTTTCTATTTTGACAACACTTTCCTTGCCTCTTCTAACTTCTAAGTGATACTATTTTTTCTCATTTATTTCATTATCACAATATCTAAGTATATACCATATTATTTCATTTATATGAAATTCAGACAAAGCCAATTTATGATGATAAAAATGGAAGCACTGGTTTTCTATGCGCTGGGTACAGGGGAGATTGACTGGAAAGAGATTGGGTGACGAAGATGTTCTATCTGTTGACTAGCTTGTTGGTTACACCGTTGAATGCATCTGTCAAAATCTGTTAAATCCTACCACTAAGATCTTTATGTAAATTATATTTTTAAAATATTCTTCAAGGATGGCATGCATACTAATATTTCCTCTGCCAAACTGTTGTCTTATACATTCATCTCTTGTCAACTAATTCCACCATAATATTATCTGCAGTTAATTTTGCAAAGACAGAGTCCTCACATTAAAATGCTGTTAATCAACAGATCCAGTCTTCTGGGAAGGATTACTCCTTGCTAAAACTTTTCTGTTTTTATGATAAAATATAGTTTTCTATATGGTAGAAAACATACTACATTATTTCAAGAGCCCCCAATGCAATAAAAAGTTGTTATTTGTCCTAATATGCTTATAATTATGAAGGAGAAAATATAAAGGAAAAACTAGGCTCCTGACTCAAACACACTTACAATCTCTTTGTGGACTGAGATTGTCCTACCTTGAGTAACTAAGAGTCACCTGTACGTCTTTGTTAAATAGAAAATATTTCTTTTAAAGTTTTCATTTTACCCCCCATAACTAAACTCTTTGTATATAGAAATTTTATCTGTTTGGGAACCAGGATTATGCACAATATAAAAATATTAACCTATTAATATTTTAAAAATTTGATCCATTATATTCCATTTCATAGTCAAAAATTCCTTGAAATAGAAGCTTTTAGTAAAAGTTTTAATTAAAAAAATCTTAATTTTACCAATACTATCTAATAATATAGTCGGACAAGACAAAAAATGCATTTGACTAGCTAAGTTATGATTGTCCCCTGTCCCATGCACTATTTAGTCCTCTGGAGGTTGACAGATTGGTTCTTTGAGAGCAGCAGTTATTTCATAGTCACTAAATGTGAAATAACAAGTTGCATATTTCATTAGCTTATTTTAATCTTGCTTGTGGTGAACAAAATATCTGTGCAATATAAAAACCTTCTTTAGGAAAGATGCAAGTTTTATAAATTGTCAATCACCCATATAAAGTAATCTGCAGTTCCTAGGAAATTGCATTCCTTCTATTGACTAAGGGACTTCAGGGAAAATACTACTGTAACAAAACAAAATCTCCCAGATTTCCAAATAGCTTTATTATGTCTCTGAATCCACAGCCTCACTACCCTACAGTTAAATTTTATAACACATTCACTGGGAAAAATGTAGTAGACATCTGTGTTACCTCCAAAAGTCGACAAAAGATCATTTAAAGTAACTGCCAATTTTAACCTTTCAAAAGAATTAGTCTAGCCTTATGATGCAGGTGGTATCCATTGAATAATCCTCTTTTTCTCAAATCACCCCAAATTCCCAATTCTTGTAAATTGCAAAGCAAAAATTTAACAAGAAAGTTTTATTGTTCACCAAAATGCCTTAAGAAAGTATGTTAAATTTCTCACTGTAGAAAATTCTGTCTCTAAAGTTATGTAACTTAAAGGTAGCTATAACTTTTGACTTCTTAGTCTATAGACTAAAGTTTACTGGACACAGAAATAGACAAATTAGGAAATACATTTGCGAAGATAAAAATTCCATCAGAGCAGGCTGTAAAATGTATGCAAGAGCATCAACATGAAAGAGAAAACCATCTTAATGGCTGCTAGCTGAGATAATGTTGTGCTGATGCAGTAGAAATAGGACTGAGGGAGGTGAAATATTACTGAAATTTCAATACTGGAATGGTCCTTTGGGTTATACCTTTTCTAATCAAAATTATTAAGTGAATATTGATTTGTATCCCTTTTCGTGATTGCAGTATGGATTTGTGGAAGGTGCACAGGAAAATAAGGTTAAAATGTATTGTATTTGTTATGTAGTACGTCAGCTATGAAAGACTAGCTTTTAAAAATAATATCCAAGATACAGATTTAAGATGGTCATGCTGACACTTTATTTTTCTTATGATATGGATCTGATCTCTCTCAAGGTAAATTTAGAGAGTGCATAGCTAATATTCCGTATGTCTTGGAAAACTACCTGGATAAGAAGACTGTGAGAAACAGATGGAAAGGTTAGGCCAGCAACATAGTATGTTTTGAACAGAATGTCACTATGCAATGAAAGCTTTGTAAGTACATATATCGTATTCAGTCACCTAGCCTTTAACTAATCTCTTTGGCATGGCTTTCAACTGCTTGATGATGTTTTAAAAGTAATATTGAGTTTGAAACATCAACTTAGATGTTTTATTAACTTTCTGTTCTATAATTTACTTTGCTATGGGCAATGAACACTTGAATAAAGTTTTTCTTCCCAGTATTAACTCATATTCATTGGTTAACAGTGTAATTATTTTTAAACGCATAACTTTGTACACTGTCAAATATGGGTCCTTTGATACATAATGTACTTCAATTGTAAACCAGACTGTCATATTTTAAAAAGAGCATAAAGGCATTTGCTGAAACTAGAAATCCAATTTTTAAAAAATTATTTATACATGTATATTATTTCTTTATACAATGAAATGCTACATAAAATATATAATCAAAGATTTGGGGTGGCACACATCAGTTTCACCCTCCTCAAAATATTTGTTCTTTTTCTCTTTTCTATTCTCTCCAAATCCACATGCCACCTTATCAAAGGGCATAAGAGCCAAGGAACAAAGTATAATAATATTACTTACATTGATTTTAATACTTGTCCCTATGATAAGTACTCATTCAATGGCTGTTGAATGAAATGTGTTCATTAGCTGATCAAATTGCTATTTTAGTTTGGCTACCCATTTCTAAATTTTTATTAGCTTTAGATAAACAAGATATTGTTTAATACTCATTTGCTTCTAGAAATATTGGCACAACTATTTGCTCTTGATATAGTATGTCCATATTCAAAATTTTATTTTTTACTATATTTCCCCAGGATTATGAAAATTCTCAAATAATTTCCCTGCCTTCTAGAATAATTAAAGTGTATCTAGTGTGAATGTTTATGTAAAAAAGCTGGAGCTGACCTGTTTCTCTATGTGGGAAAGCATGTATACAGCATTAACATATACTGTACCTTATACCCTAGACAAGTGTTTGGCACACAGTAGGTGCTCAATAAATATTTGCTTAATTAATTAATATTTCTATGTATCCCTGTTTTATCCAAGATCAAATAGGAGGTGGTAGAACATGGAAGATAAAACAATAAACCAGGAGTTAGGAGAAATGGTTCTAGTTCTTTCTTTGTTTCCACTAAGAATAAGCTACTCACTGTCTTCCCTAAGCATCATCTCTATTTCTCCCTTGTTTATTGCCAATGATAGCCAATCATTCCTCAAGTTTCAGGCAAAGCCCCACTTCTTCACATAATTTTGGTTAAACCTCAACCAACATTGATCTCTCCCTTTCCAGAATACTTACAAGTTTATCCATTGACACTTAATTTTATTTAATTTGACTTCCAGTTATGTAATGGCTTAGACCACTCTTCAATTTCTTAACATGTTACGTGTCTTTTACTCCCAATAAGACTTTAATTCAGAGGTCTCAAACTAGTATCCTGTGGGGCTGAATTTGCCTTATATATGTGTTTTATTTGGACATCATAAAATTTCAATTTTTAGTTAGTTGCAGATATTCATGTGACATTGAACGAACAAAAATATAGTTTTCCAGTTTCTCTTGGAAAAACACCAAATTTGGTCACACTGGCCTGCATTCTTCTTTGGCAGTAATCAACCAGAGCTTAATAGCTACTGACCCTTTTGTCCAGCCACATATTCCTATCAGCCCCCATCCTGGTTTTGCTTTATGTATGTATGTTCTCTGTCTGGAACATGTGAGATATGTGAGATTTTAACCCCTGTATTATACTTCATAGTAATACATTCACCCCAACGCACACCACACACATGCAGACACACATACACACACACACACACACCATATTTACTTGAAATCTCTAAAAAGTCCTGAAGCTTCTATCTATATATCTCTTAGGCATTTCATATTCAAGATGTTTAAATTGAAAACATATATCTAAATTGTCAATTTATCATTTTATTTCCTATATATCAGTAAAGTAGTAATCAATGAAAAGAAATGTGAAAACTAATCCTCCTTTAATTCTTATCTTCACCAATGGCATGTTGGGTAATTAAAAATTGAAAAGCCATTTTCACTTATTTTTCTACATCTCTGTACCCAAATATTTCCCAAGTTCTGTCAAATTTACTGGCAGAGAGAAGAGTTATGATGGGAGAAGGGGTATTCATTTCCTTCTCTGTGTTTCTTTTGCCTCTGCCCTCAGAATCTTCACTTGAAGAAAGTGTACCCTTCTCTCTGTGAGTTCTTGTCCTTGAAATTAAGAGAATCCCACCAGGAAACCATTTGACTTTGACTCCAGATTCCAAACACCAGAGTCAATTTACAGTCAATAGTGAAAGAGTTGTTTTAGAGTGTAAATTCACTTTCTTAAAGCCTATGAAATAGCACTTTGAAACCTTTACAATGATCTAAGAGACAATTGGTGAAATGTTTTGGCACCATCAAGTCTGGCATGCAGCCCTCAAGACAAGCAGCATTTCAACCTATATCCTGAGTTGACTTTCTCTATTAGAAGCACTGCATGTGAGAGAAACAGGAAATCTGTGCAGCACTTTTAAAGCAATGCGGTGAATTATAAATTAATGAGGGTTTAGTATGGGAAGGGAATAACATCTGCAGAAGAGTGGATTTCATAACGACAAAAGGGAAAAAAGGTTTCCCTTAATAAAACATAACCTTTCTGCATGCACAATCAATTCTCAATTAGTCATACCAGAGAGACTATCCACCACATACTGTCAAAACTGCCTCACTTTGACTGCTTCCTTCCCCAAACACAGTTCTGATTCTGCTTCCTCTCACCTAGATGCTTCTTGAATTAATGTTTCCAGCAATTTTTTCTATACTTTTTTGTCATCAAAAAATCCAATTTATTTTTTTATTTCTATGGTACTTCTACTGCATTATACAGCTTTCCCTTCCACAGCCTGCTGTCCCATCTCTATGCAAGTCTAATTAGTCTATTAGAGTGGGTAAGAAACCAGAAGAGAGCGGGAACTAAGAGGAGAAATGATTTCCCTAGGAAGTTTTGTAATTCCTTCTTTAAATGTCTTTATTAATCACACAGCAATGATGTCATCATTTTAGAAGTTCAAACAAACTACAAGGAAATTTGTTGGAGTACTTTCAATTCAATTCAGTAATTATGGATTGAGTACTTACTACATGCTAAGCATTTTTCTAGGTATCACATGAGTAATAACTCCCTGATCTTCAAGGGCTTACAATCTAATCAGAAGGGAAGGTAGAAGGCAATTTTGCAAATAAACATGACATACAATAGGGCTTGGACCATGGTAGTGCCATCAATTTATTGCCCACCGAAAGCAGGCAGGTGATAACTCAGTAATTTCTTCAGTAGACATTAACTGAACATGTACTATTTGTCATGGACACAAGATGAACAAGATAATACCCCTGTCTTCCCAATCTATTAGAAAAAATAATGCAAGGACACAAAAAGTTACAAACACCATGATTAAACTTATCATGCAAGTATTGAAAACATGGCTATTTGAGCACCAAAACAAAGTCTCTATCTCTGCCTAAGGATGGGAAGAAGTGACAAGAAGTCTTTACAGAGGAGATGAGTCTTAAAAGGACAAGAGGGAAGAATATTTCATGCGGAAGCACCAGAATATGCAAACAATTGGAAATATGAGAGAATATTCTGCATTCTGGAGGAGTTCATACTTCTGGATAATAAATGTACTCATAGACTATGAGTGGGGGAAAGCTGGGAGTTGAAGCAAGGGAGACAATCTTGGAAAGATTTCGCATGTGTTGTTAAGCATCCAACACAATGCATGACACATAACAAAAATTTGTGTGAATAACTGAGTGAGAAAAGAATTTGGCTTTTATTCCAAGGTTGTTAGGTATTTATAGAAAGATTTGCATTTATGAAAGGTATCCAAAAGATGAGTGTAAAGGTTGGATTAGAAGGGTAATGACAGAGAGACCAAATAGGGTATTTCTGCAATATGCCATGTAAGATGACATAAGCCCCCAAATAAAGAGACAGCTAAAAAACAGGAGCAGAGCTATTTCAGAAGCGAAATGCTGTAGCTTGTTGAGTAACTGGATGTGGAGTGGTAGAAGAGCTCTCAAGGCAGAAAAGCAGGTTTAATATCCACCTTAACCATCTCATACTCATCAGAATGTATTCAGTTAGGTCTACATGAGGTACATCATATTTTTACTTAGATAATTTTAAAATAAGCTTAAATATCTAGTTTACTAATCTAACTTACACTACACATGGAAATTTTTGAGTATGTAAGTATTTGGAGAGTTGTAAGAAGTGATAGCTAATAGCTTAATCAAGGAAAGAGACAATATCAAAGACAAAACATCCAATTAGAGCAGCCTTTATTTCTGGCATGATTAAAGCCATTTTACATTTCTCTGCATGCTGGAGTAGGATCTCCTTTGGCCCAGGTACAGGTGCATGCCTGCGTACCTTACAAAAGTCAATGTCATACCCAGTTCCATTGACAGGAAAGTAAATTGCTCCATATTTAAAGAAGCAACATAGAATCACTGTTCTCAAGATACATTAAAGTAACTTCAAATTCATCATTGCTTAACACATATCAAATATTTGGTTGAAATAATAATTTCCTACAGTTGTATAATGATTTGCAATATATCTAACCTGCTAAAATATATCTCTGAATGAAGTGAGGCCCCTAGTTGCAGGTGTTAAGTTGCACTGTGTTAGTTCAACTATAAAGCTGGTTTTTTTTTTTTCCCCTGAAGTGTGTGTACAGTAGGAAAAGCTATAAAAATAGCTCTAAGAAACTAGTTTTTTAGATTTATAATGAGCATGTTTATTAGGAGGAGCTCCATTGGAAAGCTCCATTGAGGAGCTTTCAACACTATGGAGGAGAAAGGTAACTAAACATTCAGGATACGGATGAGGGATTTTTGAACAGTGTTTTCAAAAAGAGTTAGCCAGGTGGAGAGTGGTGGAAGGACATTCCAGGTAAAACAGAGAACATGTGGGAAGCTGTGGAGACCCTGGGAAGTTTTGCTCAGTGTCAGAAATGGTTCTGATTCTTCTGCACCTTTGAACACAAACAACTGCAGCCCATTTGACATCTCCCTGTTTTGGGGGCTTGCTAGTCATGTGTGCCTTCTTCCAGCATATGGGCAGCAGTTCACAACATGTACTTTGTGTACTAATATCGTCCCCAGCTTCGTCTTATTCATTCTACTTAATTCATCAGTGTCCTGATTTCTTCGTTTTCTTAACATTTAAAAAAAAATTTTTTTTTTTAACTTTTAGGTTCAGGGGTACAAGTGCAGGTTTGTTACACAGGTAAACTTGTGTCCTGGAGGTGTGTTATACAGATTATTTCATCCCCCAGGGATTAAGCCTAGTACCCATTAGTTATTTTCCCTGCTCTCCCTCCTCCCACCCTCCTCCTTCTAATAGGCCCAGAGTGTTCCCCTCTATAAGTCCATGTGTTCTCATCATTTAGCTCCCACTTATAAGTGAGAACATGCAGTATTTGGTTAAATGCTCATCAATGACAGACTGGATAAAGAAAATGTAGTACATATACACCATGGAATACCATGCAGCCACAGAAAAGAACAAGATCATATCCTTTGCAGGGACAGGAATGGAGCTGGAGGCCATTATTCTTGGCAAACTGACACAGAAAAAAATCTTTTAAGATGTATTTTAAGGAATATTAAGTCCTTTAGCATAAGGCAGAGCATAAATAAATAACTCTAATGGAGGGTGGAGGACTCACAGTAGTAGTACCATGAATTACAACATAAATGCCTGAAAAGAGCCTAGGACAGCATCTGTGTGTAATTAATAGTCATGATGATCACTCCTAAGTCACTAAGAAACAGTTTAAACTTTGCATGTGCTACATAAAAACGTACATTAATTTAAAATCTTCTGATCATTTTTAAATGGTTAATTTTGAACTTACAAACCTTCAGATAAAGAGAAAACTTGCCTAACTAGAGGGTTTTTTTTTCTTTTTTACCTGAAGACTATGGCTTCATTATACGCAGAAGCTCTTATGCATTTGTCTTAGAAACAGCCATTTTACAAAATACTCCAGCATGCAGAGAAATGTAAAATGGCTTTAATCATGCCATTTTGGGCTTATAACATAGCCAAAAACATCTATCTATGAACTCTACTGTACTAATATTAAGAAAACATCACCCTTCTGTACTTGAATGAGTTTGGGTTGAATGTTACATCCACATGTTAAACGATAAAGAGGAGTCCAAGGTAACTCTATGTAGTTGCTTATAAGTTTTAGTCAAGCTTGAATAAAGAATTATCACACAAACTATGAATTTTTTTCTGGGAATACATAGAAAAACAGCAGGAAAGGAAGCTTTGTTCCTAATATAACATTGAAATCATTTTTAAGGGCTCAATTTTGTGATTAACTTATTAGTGTCAATTTACATTTTGTCATTGACAATTTGTAACTTTTGAAGCCATTCTGATGCAGGACAGTGGAGCTTAGTCCGCAACTGTTCTTGGCTTTGTCCAGCAGAGAATTCAAGGACAAGCTGGTGGTAGGGTAGAAGAAAACAGTTGTATCGAGGCAGCAGTGTTAACAGCTCTGGCAGTGTTACAACTCTTGTGACTGCTCCTGCAGAGAGCAGGGCTACCCCATAGGCAGTGTGCTGAGAGTAGCAGTTCAGGGCAGGTCTGCAATCACATTTACACCTACTTTTTTGTTTGTTTGTTTTGTTTTGTTTTGTTTTGTTTCAGATGGAGTTCTCTCTGTCGCCCAGGCTAGAGTCCATTGGCGCGATCTCGGCTCACTGCAACCTTCGCCTCCCAGGCTCGAGCGATTCTCATGCTTCAGCCTCCCGAGTAGCTGGGATTACAGGCCTGGGCTGGCTAATTTTGTGTTTTTAGTAGAGATGGGTTTCCCCATGTTTGCCAGCCTGTTCTCCAACTCCTGGCCTCAAGTGATCTGCCTGCCTTGGCCTTCCAAAGTGCTAGGATTACAGGTGTGAAGCCTGGCCTACTTACTTTAATACAGATCAAGGGGTGATTTAGGTAGAAATTTCCCGGAAAAGGGTAGTAACTTCTGGGTCATCGGGTTATTGCCTGGAAAGGCGGTGGTCGCTCGCAGGTGCTGCCATTGCAATGGTAAACTGACATGGCACACTAGTGAGCATGTCTTCAGGAAAGCTACTTCCGCCCAGTCCTTGTCTTAGTCCTCAATTTTGTCTGGTATCTGAGCTCCACCTCCAGAGTTGAGTCCTGCCTCCTAACACAGTTCCATCTGTACTTTTATGTTTGTTATTCGTGTGTACCATTTCTACCTTACCTGTTTATATTTTGAACTTATTATCTCTAATAAAAGTTTTCTTTTCTCTTTTTTTTTTTTTTTTTGAGACGGTGTCGCACTCTGTCGCCCAGGCTGGAGTGCAGTGGCGCATTCTCGGCTCACTGCAAGCTCCGCCTCCCGGGTTCACACCATTCTCCTGCCTCAGCCTCCTGAGTAGCTGGGACCACAGGCGCCCGCCACCACGCCCGGCTAATTTTTTTGTATTTTTAGTAGAGACGGGGTTTCACCGTGTTAGCCAGGATGGTCTGGATCTCTTGACCTCGTGATCCGCCCGCCTCGGCCTCCCAAAGAGCTGGGATTACAGACTTGAGCCACCGTGCCCGGCCAAATGTTTTCTTATACAAATCATAACTTGGTAAAATCTCACTATACATATAACCAAGCTTATAAATAACATTTTAGAATAAGTATTATCAAAGACAGGTGTTTGCCTTAACCTCTTCCAGTAATTCAACAAGAGTTTCTTCACATAAGCCATTCAGTTAATAAATTTTAGTGAGCATTTAGGCCGGGTGCAGTGGCTCACGCCTGTAATCCCAGCACTTTGGGAGGCCGAGGCCAGCATATCACTTGAGGTCAAGAGTTTGAGACCAGCCTGGTCAACCTGGTGAAACTCCGTCTCTACTAAAAATACACACACACACACAAATCAGCTGGGCGCTGTGGTGTGGTGCTTGTAGTCCCAGCTACTTGGGAGGCTGAGGCACGACAATCACTTGAAACCGGAAGGTAGAGGTTGCAGTGATCGGAGATCGCGCCACTGCACTCCAGCCTGGGGACAGAGCGAGACTCCATCTCAAAAAAAAAAAAAAAAAAAAAAAAAAAAAAAAAATTAATGAGCATCTACTATGTGCCAATACTGTTCTAGGTGCTATTGAGAAATAAACAATGTTGAAGAACTTATTTGTAACCTCTGTTTCTAATTAGATAGGACTGGAACACACAGGCAGACCGACTCAGGGTCAACTTCCTAAAACTGTGATCTACTCAGTCTCCCCTGTCTAAAAATGAAGTTAATATAGAGGAAAGCATGCGGGGAGATGGGGAGAGATAATATTCTGATTACATATTCAGTACCCAGATCCAGCCATGTCTAAGGCCATCTGTACACTTGTACTTCCTAGTACTTCATGCCAAGAAATTATCTTTTTGCTTAAAATAGTTTGTTTACTCTTGGTTGCCACTAAATGAGACCTACCTAATAATCTTTTGGATAATTTTGTGCAATTCGTCACTGTGGATATGAATAAATTAAGAAGAGTATCATTTGGTAACAGTATTAATTGACAACAAAAGCAAAACACTTGTCAAAAAGCTGCTAGAGTTTTCAGAATTATATTTTTAAAAATTATAAATATTATTTTATCTCCCTTTTAATAGAATAGGTGTGCTCTCTTGAGCAAGTAATTTAATCTCCCAGGGCCTCAATTTTCTCATCTGTGTAATTGGAAAAATGATAGCACATAGGATGATTTGAACACAAAATTGAATAAAATAATAAACATATAGAATTTGAAGCTGTATCCTGAGGACACAATTTTAGTTTGTGTATCTCTCAAGATACAAAATCACTGTGCAAAAATCATAAGGATTCATTTACACCAACAAGAGACGAGCGGAGAGCCAAATCATGAATGAACTCCCATTCACAATCTCTACAAAGAGAACAAAATACCTAGGAATACAGCTAACATGGGATGTGAAGGATCTCTTCAAGGAGAACTACAAACCACTGCTCAAGGAAATAAGAGAGGATGCAAACAAACAGAAAATCATTCCATCCTCATGGATAGGAAGAATCAGTATCATGAAAATGGCCACTGCCCAAAGTAATTTATAGATTCAGTGCTATTCCCATCAAACTACCATTGACATTCTTCACAGAATTAGAAAAAACTATTTTAAATTTCATATGGAATCAAAAAAGACCCCATATAGCCAAGACAATCCTAAACAAAAAGAACAAAGCTGGAGGCATCACTCTACCTGACTTCAAACTATACTACAAGGCTCCAGTAACCAAAACAGGATGGTACTGGTAACACCACAGACATTGGGACCAATGCAGCAGAATGGAGACCTTAGAAATAACACCACACATCTACAACCATCTAATCTTCAACAAGCCTGACAAAAACAAGCAATGGGGAAAGGATCTCCTATTGGATAAACGGTGCTGGGAAAACCGGCTAGCCATATGCAGAAAACTGAAACTGGAACCCTTCCTTATACCTTATACAGAAATCAACTCAAGATGGATTAAAGACTTAAATGTAAAACCCAAAATTATAATAACCCTGGAAGAAAACCTAGGCAATACCATTCAGGATGTAGGCATAGGCAAAGACTTCATGACAAAAATGCTAAAAGTAATTGCAACAAAAGCCAAAATTGACAAATGGGATCTAATTAAACTAAAGAGCTTCTGCACAGCAAAAGAAACTATCATCAGAGTGAACAGGCAACCTACAGAATGGGAGAACATTTTTGAAATCTACCCACCTGACAAAGGTCTAATATCCAGAATCTGCAAGGAACTTAAACAAATTTACAAGAAAAAACAAACAACCCCATCAAAAAGCGGGCAAAGGGTATGAACAGACACTTCTCAAAAGAAGACATTTATGCAGCCAACAAACATATGAAAAAAAGCTCATCATCACTTGTCATTAGAGAAATGCAAATCAAAACCACAGTGAGATACCATCTTACACCAGTCAGAATGGCAATTATTAAAGTCAGGAAACAGTGGATATTGGTGAGGCTGTGGAGAAACAGGAATGCTTTTATACTGTTGGTGGGAATGTAAACTAGTTCAGCCATTGTGGAAGACAGTATGGCAATTCCTCAAGGATCTAGAACCAGAAATTTCATTTGACCCAGCAATCCCATTACTGGGTATATACCCAAAGGAATATAAATCATTCTCTTATAAAGACACATGCACAAGTATGTTTACTGCAGCGCTATTTACAATCATAAAGACACAAAACCAACACAAATGCCCATCAATAGATAGACTGGATAATGAAAATATGGCACATATACATCATGGAAGACTATCCAGCCATAAAAAGGAATGAGATTATGTCCTTTGCAGGGACATGGATGAAGCTGGAAGCCATCATCCTCAGGAAAGTAACACAGGAACAGAAAACCAAATACTGCATGTTCGACTCTCACTCATAAGTGGGAGTTGAACAATGAGAACACATGGACACAGAGAGGGGAAAAACACATACTAGGGCCTGTTGGGAGGTGGGAGTGAGGGGAGGAACTTAGAGGATGGGTCAATAAGTGCAGCAAACCACCATGGCACATGTATACCTATGTAACAAACCTGCACATTCTGCACATGTATCCTTTTTTTTGGAAGAAAAAAAAACCAAAAAATGAAAAAAAATTATTTCACTAAGATACTGGAAGGGAGAAATCTTGCTTAAGAAACTGTGAAGGTAAAATTGAGAATATGAGTAAAGCCACAAACCAGAGGCAGATAATACAACTTGCAGTGCAGACCCAAATCAAGGACTACCCTGAGATAAGCCAATGAAAAAGTCAGGACAAGAGTGATGGGAGTGTATATGGGGTGAATTTGGGACTTGGGGAAGGTGGCAAACCAACGCAGTGTCCTAAAAGCTTTTAAATTATGCTGTTCAAATCTCAATTATCCTTGCCAATATGGTTTTATACTTGATCTGCCAATAACCAAGAAAGCTGTATTAAAATAGTGAAGGATTTATTAATGCCTCTTCATAGATCAAACCAGTTTTGTTTATATATTTTGAAGCTGTACTATTCAGTAAATAAAGTTTTCAATTGTTATGTTCCTAACAAATTGAACCTCTTAGCATTATTTATTGACTCTCTTTATCTTTTTTAATGCTTTTATTTTCCCTCAAAGTCTGTTTTGTTTTGTAGACCTGCTTTCTTTTTGTTAATATTTTCCTGACATATTCTTTCTAGGCTTGACATTCAAACTTTTCATGTTCTTGTGTTTTATTTAATTAGTCTCTTGTAGAAATGACATAGCTGGAGTTTGTTTCTATGCGGTCTGAGGGTCTTTGTGCTTTAACAGGACAGCTTATTCCATTTTCCTTCTTTCTCTTTCTTGCTTTCTTTTCTTTTTTTCTTATCTCTTCATCTTTATCCCTCCCTCCTTTCCTCCCTCTCTCCCTTCCTTCATTTCCTTCCTTTCCTTCTTTCCTTCCTTTCCTTCCTTTCTTCTTGCTTCCTTGCTTTATTTTTCTTTCAAGATGGGGTCTTGATATATTGTCCAGGCTGGTCTTGAACTCCTTAGCTACAGCAATCCTCCCACCTTAGCCTTCCAAGTAGCTGAAATTACAGGGTTGCACCACCATGCTCAGATTTTTTTTTCCTTTATTTTGTTTACTTACTTCTTTGGATTTATTTCCACTCTCTTATTTCTATTTATCCTTTCTATTCATTCTGCCTTTCCTGTTTTACACTCACCCTTCCTACCTCCTTTGGGTGTACTTTTTCTCTTCCCCATCCTAATTCTCCCTCTACATGTTTGGAATTGATTAATTAAAACTCTACGTCATTCTTCTGAACGAAGTTTAAATAGTATTTTTTTTCTCCAAATATACCTTGACCTCAGGATGCCTTAAATCTGATCTCCCACCCTTCTAAATTTACATACTACTTTTGTCCATTCTAGGCTCTTTGCCCCCAACAGACATTGGATATTATCATTATTTAGTGAATTATATGTTTTCTTCGTTTTCTCTACAAATTTACCAAAATACATATTCACCATCTATCCTTGCACACTCCATCTATTCTGTCTGAGACATATAGAAAAAAAGAATTTAAAGTTGTGCATGGCAAATTAAAAGTACTCAAGTATATGACAAATATTACTATTATTATCATTAGTTTTCTCAAAGAGACTTATGGCACCCATACAATTAAAGAAACAACACCTTATGGTTTGATATGTATTTTGCTTTGGAAGTTATTTAAGGTAACAGATGATTGATTCAAAGTGTATTAAATCCCTCTGAGAATGCTAAGGAGTGTGTGTATGTGAGGTAGTGGGTGAAAATGAAAGTTGGCCTAGGACATTGAGAAGGTAAAGGAGGTGGTATGAGATTTGTGCTGCAACTTCTATCAAAACGTCCCTGCTCTGGAGAGCAAAGGGAGTAATGCTGAGGAATTATCCGGAGTATCAGACAATAGTAAGAGAAAAGGAAGAAAAGAGAAGTAGAAGAGAGATATTTCAAGCTTAAATGAAACAGATGAGGAAAGAACTCAACCCATGATTTAAGTCTTGGGGTATCTCAACCATTTCTTGAAATCTACTCTATACTATGTACATAGCACCTTCAAACTGGTAAGTTTTCATGGAACTATTATTAGAACTATTATTAATAACATTATGGAAGAAACAGTGCCCAGAAAGTAGTAAACATACAGCACACTTTTTGATTCAAAGACACATATGAATGTGTATCTATTGTGCTTCCTTTGTTAGTAAGAGATGCAATATAGAACACAATAGACGAGTTTGAGTTTAATTAGCAGGACATTTTAAATCCATCATTTAGAAAACGAGGATAAAACAATCTATTTAATGAAAGTAGTATATTGCTGTTGAAGTGTATAAACTGTGCCACCATTCTCTTGGTGGTTTTCCCCCTCTATTTCTCATTAGTTTCAACTCATTAACATTTTCTGACAAATGTAAATCCTATAAAGCTGATTGGTTTGATTAACCTAATAAAGAAAAAAAGCCAGCCACTTATCAACCTTCACTTGACATTGACATAAAGTCTTTACGTGGCACAGTTCCTGGATTTTGTCATTTGAAATGGGACGAGGGATTGCTAATAGGATGAATAGGGTGGTAGTGCAACAGATTAATTAAGCAGCTCTCAGGAATGATATTGAAAGGTAACTGATTAATTGAACATTGAAGCCATCTAATCAAATAGTGAAACAATAAATATGTTTCTTCAGAGATAAATTATGCATTCATTAGCATATTCATTTATACAGTTGAGTTAACTCTTTGTGTGCTTTTCGTTTTGCCTAGTTGGAAATATCCACCTGCTATAGATTCTCTTTCTCTTCTTTCTAAAAATGCCTGGAGAACGTGCCTGTATTTCTTCAAGATTTGAATAACTTACTTATTAAATATGCAAGCTTTTTGTTCACAAAACTGTGAAAAAATTCACTAAATCAATGCTTTGTCATCTTATACAACCTGCAGCCAAGCAGACCATACAATAGCACTGAAGATAAATCAGTAAGATACTATTTTATGCTGAACCCAGAGTTTAATAAGAACATACAGTTGTAGAATCATTAATGCCAAGGATCCATCAATATATTCATATGTAAATATGCAAACATGCCTTTTACCATGTAGAAACATGTTTGTTTTTTTTCCATGTGAGCCTTCAGAGAAGATGGTCACTTCACAGCTATGAAGTTTTAGTAAAATAAAGAGTGGATCTGAAATCTCAGGGCATCTGGGGAAGATAAATTCAAAGAGCCTAAAAGCAGTTCATTTATACTCAAGCTGTTTCCCTTTTGCCTAAACTGAAGCCCTGCCCCCATTGTTGACACCCGGGCAGAATCCAGTTGCCACAGCTGTGCAGCTCAATGAATAGCAAGATTCTGTTCCCTGTGCCTGTGGATGCTCATCATCAAAAGATGTCTGTCACCCTCTTGTCCATAGGCGAGTTCCCTGCCAGACTGGAGGAGCATAGCTTCATGGGGGAAGGGCACGAAATCTCAGAGATAAGAAACATTGCCTTGTCAGCATCTGAACCCTGGCAGCTTCTAGTCCTAGTGCAGAGTCCTGACTGAATTCCTGTGTCAGTGACTTTCTTACAGAAATTTAAGCTCTTCCTAAGGCAAAGCTCTCCAGGAGAGAAGTCCTGTTAATACTTCTACTGCCACAGATGTCATGTGGAAAATTGGATGGAGCCATGGTTACTCATTGCTCTAGGTTGGAATTGGCTAAAAAGGCAGTATCATGTATAGAGGCAAGATGTTACAGAGCTGTTGGCTGAAAAAAGATTCGAAAGATTACTGGAGTGTTTTTTTTTTTAATGGAGACTACAAAATGCAAGGACATTCTTTTTAGGTCAAACAAATTTAATTATTTTCTTTTAGCTTAAAGTTTTAGCTTAAATGAATATCAGATCAGTTACTACAGTAGGTTTAGTGACTGATATTCTTTAGGGTTTTATAAAAGGTGGAAATGTGGTAAAAATCTATACATGAAAATTGCTTTAAATTGAAAAGACAAAGAAGACCTCTAAATCAGGACCAAAATGATTTCAGGACTTCTCTGAAATAATTACAGTTCAGGTTCAGATGAACTTTAAGTAGCTAATGTGTCTTATTTTTATAAAACAGGGTTTCCACACCATTAGAAATCATAATCCCAACTGATTTTTTGTTGTTGTTGGTAGTGAAATCATATATCAAGGTTTCATGTTAAACACATCCAATTGCAGAAATCTAGAGATCTATATGAAAACAATACAATCAGATTAACTAAACCTCTAGTATCTTGCTTGTTATATTTTTGGCCTACTCTTGAGAACATTAGAAAGAAAAATAGGTATAGCCTTTTATTTTCTTTATGTGTTTATTGATAATAATGTCGTGAGCCTCATTCCACTGCCAGCATTATTTGATAACAAAAGCAAAGCACTTGTCAAAAATACGCTACAGTTTCAGAATTATATTTACAAAGGTATAAACACAAACTTATCTTCCCGCACCTTTTTAATTTGAGACAGTTTCTTGCTCTGTCACCCAGGCTGGAGCGCAGTGGCATGATTATGGCTCACTGCAGCTCGATCTCCCTGGCTTAAGCAATCCTCCTGCCTCAGTCTCCGGAGTAGCTGGGTGGTAGCACCCCAGATGCATGCCACCAGGCCTGGCTAAATTTTTAATTTGTATTTCTTGGTAGAGATGGCATGTCCCTATGTTGCCTAGGCTGGTCTCAAGCTCCTGGGCTCAAGCCATCCACTTGCCTTGGCCTCTCAAAGTGCTGAGATTACAGGTGAGAACCACAGTATCTGTCTTAGCTTCCTCTTAACAGGACAGGTAGTGATTTACCTTTAAAAATACAATCTCTAAAATTCTGAAATTTACTCCTGCACTAAAAGTACTACTCTTTTTCATCTTGTCGTCTTAGCTCAACATTCTAATTTTTTTTTAGTATTTAGGATACATTGATTTTAATTTTTTACTCTTTAAGTTTAAAGGAGTAACATATATATATCACATTTCTCTTTGCATTTTCAGAAACCTTAGTATAACAAGATTACCATTTTTGAAATTTTGTTTTTAAGAGACACATAATAATAAATATATTTATGGGGTATATAGTGTGATGTTGTGATACATGTATACATTGTGCGAAAATCAGATCAGGGCATTTAGCATATCCATAACTTCGCACATTTATCATTTTTTTTTGTGGCGAGAACATTCAAAATCCTCTTTTCCAGCTATTTAAAATATACAATACTGTTAACCATTGTCATTCTACTGTGCAATAGAACACCAGAACCTATTCTTCCTATCTAACTGTGACTTTGTACCTGCTGACTCAGTTTCTCCCCATCCTTCCTCTTGTACACGTTCCAGATCTGGGAGCCACTATTCTGCTCTTTAGTTCTATGAGATCAACTCCTGTAGATTCTACAGGTAAGTGAGATAATAAGGAAGGCCTTTGTCTTTCTTTGTCTTGCTTATTTCACCTATCATAATGTCCTCAAGTGTCATCCATGTTGCCACAAATGACATGATTTCATGCTTTTTTAGGGCTCAGTAGTACTCCATTATGTGTGTGTGTGTGTGTGTGTGTGTGTGTGTGTGTGTGTGTACACCAAATTTCCTTTATCCATTCATCCATTGGTAGATACTTAGGTTGAATCCATATCATGGCTATTATGAATAGAGCTTCAATAAACATGAGAGTGCAGCTATCTCTTCAACATACCAACCTAATTTTCTTTGGATTTATACTCCATAGTGCAACTGCTGGATTTTATGGTTGTTCCATTTTTAATTTTTTGAGGAACCTACATACTGTTTTCCATAATAGCTAATACTAATTACATTTCCACCAGTGTATAAGAATTCCCTTTCCCCACATCTGCCAGCATTTGTTATTTTTTGTCTTTGTGATAACAGTCATTCTAATCAGAGTGAGGTGATATCTCATTGTGGTTTTGATTTGCTTTTCCCTGATTATTAGTGATAATGAGCATTTTTTCATATACCCATTGCCATTTGTTTATCTTCTTTTGAGAAATATCTACTCAGGTGTTTTGCATATTTTTAAATTGGATTAATTGGGTTTTTGCTATTGAGTTGAGTTCCTGATATATTCTGTATATTACCTCTTGTCAGATGCATAGTTTTCAAATATTTTCTCCCATTCTGTAAGTTCTATTTTCACTCTTTAGAGTGTTTCCTTTGGTGTACAGGAGCATTTACATTAGATGTAATTCCATTTTGCTATTTTTGCTCTTCTTGCTTGTGCTTTTGTGGTCTTATCCAAAAAAATCCTTGCCCAGACCAATGTCATGAAGCATTTCTCCTAGGTTTCCTTCCAGTAGTTTTATCATTTCAGATCTTACATTTCAGCCTTTAATCAATTTTGAATTGATTTTGTACATGGTGAGAGATAGAGGTCTAGCTTCATTCTTCTGCAGGTGACTATCTAGTTTTCCCAGCACCAATTATTGAAAGACTGTCCTTTCTTCACGTGTATACTTGGCACCTTTGTTGAAAATAAGTTGGCTATAAGTGCATGAATTTATTTATATCTTCTCTATTCTGTTCTGTTGGCCTGTGTGTCTGTTTTAATGCCAGTACCATGCTGTTTTAGTTACTATTAGCTTTGTAGTGTATTTTGAAATCAGGTGGTGTGATGCCTCCAGATCTGTTCTTTTTGCTCAAGATTGCTTTGCTATTTGGGGTGTTTTGTGGTTCCATATGAATTTTAGAGTATTTTTTTCTATTTCTGTGAAGAATTTCATTGATATTTTGATAGGGATTGAATGGAATCTGTAGATTGTTTTGAATAGTATGGACATTTTAACAATATTAAGGGTTCTAATTCATGAGCACAAAATATCTTTCCATTTATTTGTGTCTTCTTCAGTTTTTTTATCAATGTTTTTCAGTGTTTTAGTGTATTGATCTCTCAGTGTAGTAATCTTTCACCTCCTTGGTTAAACTCATCCATAAGATTTTTTTGTTAGTTATTGTAAATCGGATTATTTTCTTGATAATTACTTGTTCATGTATTAACTAACATTTACTGTATCTGAATATTCAGAAATTGAATAGTAGGACAGCTTGATTAATTTTATTTCTTCAATATTAACTTCTCCAATATTTTCTTGTTGCTATTTGAGCTCATTATAAATAGCATTATGATTATATCGTATAGACTAAGATAAATGAAGTTCACTTAAATAATTTGTTTTATATATCATACATCAGATAAACTGTTGATTGTCTCCTGGATGTATTTGGAATGTATGAGTCATTAAACATACAGGCAAATTTGTTTCTAGGGATGCTTTCAATTCTCAAAAGAAAAGTCACTGTTCAGATTTGTTAAGACAATCCAAGTTGGTGTCATTATTTATTATCATATAAAACTGCATTAGTGATTATTTAACTAATTGACTGCTTTTCTTTAAAAAAGATAGAAATAGGGAGATGAAGAGCATGAATACTCTTTAAAGTTTTACACAAACTAAAATAGTATTATTAAGCATTTTGGTTCTAATTGTGAAGATAATCACCTTGCAAACTACCCTGATTCAGAAGTCATGGTATTTTAAGTTATATTTTTCATCTTTGAAACAAATTTTAGGATGTATTTTGAGGTCCTTTCAAAGTGATTTTATATTATGTTGGTGATATGGTTTGGCTCTGTGTCCCCAACCAAATCTCACTGCAAATTGTAATCCCCATAATCCCCATGTGTAGAGGGAGGGACCAAGTGGGCAGTGATTGTATCATGGGGGTGGTTTCTCCCATGCTGTTCTTGTGATAATGAGAGAGTTGTCATGACATCTGGTGGTTTTATAAGGCAGTTTTCCTTGCTCTTGCTTGTTATCTCTCTCCTGCCACCATGTAAGATGTGCGTCTTCCCTTTCCACCATGGTTGTAAGTTTCCTGAGGCCTCCCCAGCCATGTGGAACTGTGAGTCCATTAAATCTCTTCCCTTGATAAATTACCCAGTCTTGGGTATTTCTTTATAGCAGTGTGAGAACAGAGTGTAATACAGTTGGTCAATATTCTTGCTTACTAACAGAAAATGAATTGCAATACCAGTGTAAAAGGAAACATAACCACCTCCATTTTGAATATATTATAAAAAGAGGCATTTCTTGCTCTATGATGGACATACCATGCATTTTTTTAAAGAGCCCTTTAAGAAATTAGAGGTGGTTACTGTTATTTGAAAGGTATAACACAAGTTCAGCACTTATACTGTGCTATAAAATTACCCTAGAATTTCTTTATCATATAAGAAACATTATTAAAACTTCAGTCTATGTTTTTTTGGCATTGTGACAGCAGTCCTCTAAAATTGGGTGTGGATTGAATGAAAGTAGGCATTATAGAAACATTTGATTCATCTCTCTAATAATGTAAAAGTAAGAGAGTTTTGAATTCAGTTCAAAGAATGAAAGCTATAACTGGCCTGATTTAAAATTATTCATGTCAGCAAGTTTATATGCAGAACCATTTGAAACCTGCCTGTGCCTTTTTAAGTGGAAATGAAATTTAGTTCTACATTTGTCCATTGTTTAATAAGATGTGCCTACATGTATATGTTTTATTATAATTTAAAAGAAACCATTTTAAATTAGATATATATTTTACTGGTTTAAGAGTCCATTATTTTAGAAAAACTCCAGTTATACTTTTTATTAATGAATTCTTAAATTCTATTGTATATCTCTTATTATTATTCAATGTCTTTTAGATACCTATGGTTTTATTCATTGGTTCTCAATATTTTTTTCAGCTTTTGGAAAGCTCGCGTGCATAATATACTTCAGTCAGACACACTGCGCCTTGCAGAGTATGGTTTTCAACACAATGGAAATGAATAGAACAGGGAGGAGACATATCAGGATCTGGAGAAAGCTGGGGAGTTAGGAATGCAGTTAGAAAAAATATATAATTTAGCCCCTGGGAATATAGGCATGTCTTCTTGAGAGAATTAGTGATTGAATGGATAATGTTTCCATTTCATTTTCCAAGTAATACACATAACATGTTAATGGTGTACTTGATCTCTTATAAAGGGTGCACCCAAAATAGAAACAAAATCTTGGCTGGGCGAGGTAGCTTATGGCTGTAATCCCCAGGCTTTGGGAGGCCAAGATAGGTGGATCATTTGAGGGTAGCAGTTTGAGACTAGCCTGGACAATATAGCAAGATCCCCATCTCTATACACAAAAAATTAAATTAGCCAGGCATGGTGACCTGTAGTCCAAGCTACTCAGGGGGCTCAAGTGGGAGGATCCCTTTAGCCCAGGAGTTCAAGGCTGCAGTGAGCTATACTCACTATACTTCACCATGCGCAACAGAAGGAGACCTTATCTTAAAAAGTATATGTATTTAAAGTTGAAGGAATCAGTTTTATTAAATGTAATTTCTTTCTTTCTTTTTTTTTTTGAGACGGAATCTCGCTCTGTCACCCAAACTGGAGTGCAGTGGTGCGATCTCGGCTCACTGCAAGCTCCGCCTCCCGGGTTCACATCATTCTCCTGCCTCAGCCTCCCGAGTAGCTGGGACTACAGGTGCCCGCCACCACGCCCGCCTAATTTTTTGTGTTTTTAGTAGAGATGGGGTTTCACCATGTTAGCCAGGATGGTATCGATCTCCTGACCTCGTGATCCACCCGCCTCAGCCTCCCACAGTGCTGGGATTACAGGCGTGAGCCACCGCGCCTGGCCGAATTTACTCATTTTTTATGAGTAACTCTCGCTCTTTTTAAAAATCTTTTTTTCTCTCAAATATTTGATATTTTTCTCACTTATCCTAAGAAACAAACTGAAAATGTATTTTAAATATTCACTTAAAGTAAAATAAATATGTATAAAAATTTACTTGGCTAACATCCTGTAATGCGTTAATATATTTTGAAAATAATAGTTCATTTTACTTGAGCCCATATTATGTTTAAAAGGTAACAGGGCCCTAAATGTGTCCTGATACCTCAAACCTGAGGGAGAAAAAAGAAGTATAAAGGCCCAAGATAGATTGGTTCTAGTCTCATTCTAATGTAATAATCTCCACTTAATAATATAAAATCTCATCCAACCTCAAACCCAGCATTGACACATCTCCAACTGTTTACTCTTCCCAATAAATTCACAAATGTATATAGAAAGAAATAATATGTAGTGGTGTGCATTAAATACCTTTGGTTATTTTTTAAAACTAATGTTAGACTATTTTTTAAATCTGAAAATAGATTCTAAATGCTATTTGAAAGGGATAGCTGCAATGATCTATGTGCAAAGGCAACACTCTTGGAATGAATATATTGCCACTCAGGGTAACTCTTTGAAAAAATGCAGCATCCACTTAGATATTTAAGTGGAGTTGAAATTCTTAAGATACCAATCTTGTCAACTAATTCTTTTATCGTCATTTCTAAGTATTGAGAAGAAATGTTAAGCTCTTATTTATAAAACTTATAAACAGGATTGGAGTCCATTACAGAGGAAAAGAATGTTTTATAGAAGCTTAGATGATGTGTGGAAAAACAGACATTGGAAGGTGAATTATGAAGGGTATGGAATACTATTTCACTTATTGATTACAGGATTTATAAGAAGTAAGTTGGGAAGGATGCACAGTCAAGGTCAGTTGCACCTGTAAATATAAGTTCACACATTACTGATGATTTACAGCTCCATATGTTTCCTACTAAAAATCCATGAAGACTTTTTCTTTCAATTGATTAAAAGCAAAGGAAAGTTGACAAGGGAACTAATGAGCTATACATAATGAATAAGGTGGCAATGTTCTCATCTAGTCAATTTTCCTTTTTATAAAACTGGGAGCAGAAACTTGATTTAATGCATTGCCATAGACACTGAACCAGTAACTTAAGCCATGGTAGCAACTATTCTGTTCAGACCATTTAGTTAACATAGTTAAATAAACTGTGCAAACATGAAAAACTGAATCAATTACCTGATTCAGAACTAAAAAAAAAAAGAAAATGTAAACCCACAAGAAAAGTTATATATTAAGAACTTTCATATTTCCTTTTCTTCTTGTTTGGTCACGAAGTGCCATTGGCCTTTGGCAAATACTCTGTTAATAACCGAGTGATTATGATTGATGGGTAGAACCAAGACATAAAGTCAGATCTTAATTTACATTAGCTCAGGCATTCTTGGATGGAGGTTCTAACTCCTAGAAATACCCTAGGTGAAACTAAAAATCAGTTGAAGTTTCTTTTCAGTGCTTTTTCTCTGCTCTAGCTTCACCTTTCTGTCCTGTTTCCATGCCTTCATTCCTTTCCCCAAGCAGATTCACCAAGACCCTAAGTGCCAGGACTACCAGAGTAACTCACATCAGTCCTTCAATGCCTGAAAAATATATCCTGGGGCAGAAGATCAGAGATAGCCTAAACAGAAAAGAAATTTGTTTGGTTATCCCATGAGGTAATTAATGATTAAGTGTTAATCTACTTAAGTTTCCTGACTGATTTGCTTTTAAAAGGGAGGTGTTAACATAAAGGCATCTTGATTAGTGACAAGAGGTGGTGGACTGCTAACAGATTCCCCAGGGCATGTGGGCGATAAGAGGTCAGTAATTCAGCAAATCTTTAATGACTGCCAGCACTACACTGGCTTTTTTTAAAAAGGAAGTTTCCCATTTGCTGGGCCTTAGCTGAGTCCTGAATCAGAGACAAAGAGGAGATACTCTCTAATTACTGCCTTTGAGAAGTTATAACTTGGAGGTTTTTCTCCAAGTCCATCCTCCCTTCTTCAACTTCATCACAACCTCAAAATTTAAGCAAAATAAGACAAGCCTGAAAAGGCCCTTTGTGCTATTCTAAGACGGGCAGTAGATAATCAATGAATATTTTGCTTATTGACATTAGAATTGTGCAACCAATGCTTTCTTTGTTATCTCTTCTCAAGTGCCACCTCCTAGGAGGAGAGTTCCCTTCCTGGTTCATGTTCTCTTGACTTCCTTTCGCCTCATTTGACTTAGATGCTATGCCTTTGTATTTCTATAGCCAAACTTCCCCAAGGTGCTTTCTCTAGTTATGACTTGGTTTTTTCCTGGTCCCCTCAAAAGCTTTAGCCTGATCACGTTAATTTTCATTGATTAGTAGAGTTCCTTGTAAATACTAAGTGGGCTTTAAATATTGTTGAATGGATGGCGTGTGAGATTTTTCCTTTTATAAAGTGTTTTCTGACAGAATTCATTTATAACATTTACTAACCTTACTTTTTATGATATTCACAGAATAGAAAAGAAAATATCTCTATAAGCACACTTTTCCTCTTATGTTATAGCCAAATATCAACAACAGTAACAACAATGACAACAACAAATAGAACAGTGTCTGCATCACAGGGATTTTGCACTCCAAGAAATGACTATACTTTTTGCCCTGACCTTCAGCCTGGAAGACTCCTTCAGAAATATAAATAGGCCACAGAAGTTAACTCCCTCTGCCTTGAGATTGAATTCATTCTGCTCTCTGAATACGTGTATCCTGATCTCAGTGCACATGACATTTTAGATTTCAGATCAACACTTGCTTCAATTTTCCAATTCAGAATGGTAGAACTTCAAAATTTCATATTGAGCCCCGATTATTCACATACCCAATTCCCATAATATAAGGTACTTACTTTCCAAAAGATCATAAGCTTATTTCAAAATTAGACCATTTCTTTATCTGTAGCCTAGTAACTGTAATTTGTGGAGTACTTACCATATAGCAGGAGTATTCCATATGACTTTCTATATATGAAAAATAAGAAACTAACATAGGAGGTTTTTTTTTTCCATGCTTATTGGTTAAAAAACAAAAACAAAAACTGAGGCATATGTCAATTGCACAAACCATTCAAATAATGACTGCTCTGGGATTCTAGTCCACTCTGTGTCATCACCACTATGGAACTTTGCACTCAGTATAGGTCTATAACTTAAACAATTAAATAGAATTTCTTCTGAGACCTGGTTACACTTCCCACTCTCAATTAATGATTCTAAAGTTCTTTGGATCCTGACTAGTGAGAAATACAAATCCTGTATCATTAATCCTAACTCTCTAACTCATTACCCTAGCTACTAGCAACTAGGAAGCCATAGTTTCTGCTTCCAATTTTGATTACTCACTGTCTAAGGCCCCCCAGCCATCTTGCTCTGGCAGGAAGAGCAAATGCTTTCACCTATTTTGCAACTGTCATTACCATCCTGATTTCATATACCTTCGTCTGTAGTATTATAACATTATTTCTGCTTCTTCCTTCCTCCCTTCTTTCTTCCTTCCCTCTCTCCCTCCTTGCTTCCTCCTTCCTTCCTTCCTTCATTTATTTATTTTAAACAAGATCTCACTCTGTGGCCCAGGGTAGAGTGCAGTGCACAATCCTAACTCACTGCAGTCTCAAACTCCTGGGCTCAAGAGATCCTCAGCTTCCCAAAGTGCAGGGATTACAGGTGTGAGCCACCACATCTGGGCTGTGTCTCTATACAATATCTGTAGCAACATGATTGCTTCATCACAGAGACAAGTATTTGACATTTTTGTCATTAGTCAACATTTGCCAGTGACACTTGTAAAATTCAAGTATTGAGAATTACAAGAAAATAATAAAACCTATATACCTAATAAAATGTTTGCATAATAATTAGATAATTCATTATCATATAATTTTGGTATCTATTCTATGGTGAAACATTTTCTTTTAACATTTATCGATTAAATCCTCCCTAGTAGATACTGAATAAATACATTATTGAATTATAGAGATTTTTCATGTTTTTCTGAGACTTTTTAAAAGCTTAACTAACATTTTAAAAATAAAATTATGTGTGTCCCTTATGTATAAAGATAAGTAAGTAAAATGCCAAGGAGTCCGAATTATGAATAATAGATTATGTCAGCAATATGGGGGAATTATGTAAAAAGCAAACATGTTAAGTATAGTATAAAGTTGTATAATATAGTACAAACATATAGTGTAGACTATATACTAGATCAGTATATAGTCTGTGAAAAATTAAGGATTCTCCATCATACCCAGTAGCAGAAGATCAATAATTGGACTATCAAGCTCATACTTTAAGGAAGATCACATTCTTTTTAAAGGACATGACAGATATGACTAAAGGTTTAGAAAGCAAAGGCTATTAGTGGGCAGCAGAGGGAAAATTCTTGCTTTCAAGTTTATTTTACATCATAGGAGTGATTGTTTAGAGACTTATTTATTTACAAATAAACTTTGAGTTTAGGCTACACCATTTCCTTTAAAATATAAATGTGGCCTAAATTTAAGATTGATAAAAATATACATTTTCCTACTATAAAATATGAGAGTTTAGGAATCTCTTCTTATTTATAGCTATAAAATAAATTGCTTCTAATTTGTATAGAATAGTTTAAGTATGGTATTTTGAATACATTTAAAATTTTAAAAGGAGTTTTACACTATTGTAATAAATTTTGGGGTAGATTTCAAAAGAAAAATTTTCCACGTTAGATTATTTTCTTTTTCTTCCTTTGGAGGAAAAAAAATGTACAATCAGAGGAAGAAGCTATTATCCTAGAAAGATGATATATGTATTAGGACAGCAGTCTCTTAAATATTATAGCTAATTGGATTTCCCTACCATCTATGTACCAAAGGGTTCATGTAATATAGTTGAATTAATCAGAATATCTTTATGCATTCAGCTTGTCTTCCTTATTAATTATTGTGGATGAAATGTCCTAATGTTTTAGTCTCATTTTTGCCATGAAGTCCTATTATTGTCATAGAAACATATAGTATTTCAGAAATTGGGAAAGGCTTATAAAAAAACAGCTAAAGATTTCTCCAAAAGGTATAGGAAAAATAATCAAAGCAAATAATTACTTATAATAGATGATATCGGTTTAAAAATATATAATTACATTTTTAGATATTTCTGTTATAGGCAACAATCAGTTGTAAGTAAAATAAAAAAACTTTAGCAACTTTGAGCTCCTCAAAATTACAGAGGATGAAAGTGAGAAATTAACCAAGCAAATCCAGTCTTAGACCTAATATTTGAATCCAAATAATTCCCACATGATGAAGTGTTTTACACCAATATTTTTGCCAGAGGTCAACATATACACTGTCTCTCCCACCAGATTAAGAGTTACATAAGGACACAAGAATTTTTTGTCTGTTTTGTTCACATCTGTATTCTCAGTGTACAGGACACATGGTAACACTTCAAATACAGTTGTTGAAAGAATGGTCCTTCCCTTTCTGACTCTCTTTTTCTTCCTCTTTGACTTTTGTTTGTAGTGGATATCTATTGCTTGTGATAACCTAGCAGTCATTCACCCTTCTGGGAATAGCACCCTGACTGTCATTGCATCATCACTCCTCCCCAGTACTCAGTTTATGCAGTTCAGGAAAGTTGACTTCATTCCCCACTCCAACCCTGACCAGCTCAAGAGATGTGCACATGCTTAATTTGGCCAGAAGAAAGAGTCCATCTTATTGAATCATAAGATTGATTTAGATGGACATGTGAGCTACACTAAACTAAGAAGACTCAGTTGAAGAACTTTTGCTAGAACTATTAATTTAAAAAAATTAAATACAGGCTCATGCCTGTAATCCCAGCACTTTGGGAGGCTGAGGCGGGTAGATCACGAGGTCAGGAGATCAAGACCATCCTGGCTAATACGGTGAAACCCCATCTCTACTAAAAATACAAAAAATTAGCCGGGTGTGGTGGCAGGCACCTATAGTCCCAGCTACTCGGGAGGCTGAGGCAGGAGAATGGCAGAGCTTGTGGTGAGCCAAGATCGCACCACTGCACTCCAGCCTGGGCGACACAGTGAGACTCCGTCTCAAAAATAAATAAATAAATAAAATAAAATAAACTGTTTACACTGAAGTTGTTGAATGGATGGATTTTAATCCCTGCCATCCTAAAATACACTGGCAACAAGTTGTCCAAATGAAGTCAAGACAAGGGAAAACCAAACTAATATGGTTTGGCTCTGTGTCCCCATCCAAATCTCATCTTGTAGCTTCCATAATTCCCATGTGTTGTGGGAAGGACCTGGTGGGAGATGATTGAATCATGGGGGCAGGTCTTTCCTGTGCTGGTTCTTGTGACAGTGAATGGGTCTCATGAGATCTGATGGTTTTAAAAACGGGAGTTTCTCAGCACAAGCTCTCTCTTTGCCTGCCGCCATCCATGTAAGATGTGACTTGCTCCTTCTTGCCTTCCACCATGATTGTGAGACTTGCCCAGCTATGTAGAACTGTTAAGTCCATTAAACCTCTTTTTCGGGAGGCTGAGGCAGGAGAATGGCGTGAACCCGGGAGGCGGAGCTTGCAGTGAGCCGAGATCGCGCCACTGCACTCCAGCCTGGGCGACAGAGCGAGACTCCGTCTCAAAAAAAAACAAACAAACAAACAAAAAAAAACCTCTTTTTCTTCCCAGGTTTGGGTATGTCTTTATCAACAGCATAAAAATGGACTAATACACAAGTGAAGCAATGGTAAGATGTGCATTTTGGCATCATATAGGCTCTGGATTCTAGGCCTGCAGCCAGTCCTACCCCATTATTTCTAAGTTTTATGTGACCCAATAAATTTCATTTTTATGTAATCTAGTTTGAGATAGCATCTTATTACTTGCTACTAAAAGAATTATAACAAATGAATCTTCCAATACCATTTTATCAATTACTTATGGCCCTATAAAGAGTAAAAATGAATAGCACTGTGCTGACATTGAGTCATATGATAGCAATGGAAAGAAAATAGTGACAGTCATAATGTGCTCTCAGAAACGTCCAGCAGGGTTTGTGTCCTCCTTTTATTTACTCAGGAAAGTACTCGGATTTAAATTCAGAAGCAGTAAGAGTGGATTTTATTTTACTGTTAACAGCTCTAGGAGACACGTTTTTTGTTGTATGACTTGTCACTGGTTGCTTCAGCACTGCTGACTATAGGTATGACATCAGTTATAATTAATCTTATATTTTTGTCAGTAGTAAACAACCATAAGCATGGTTTAGAAACAGATAAAAAAATACATATTTTAGAAAGTGATCATGTATTAAATCATATAGAAGCCTAAAATGACCTGAGGAGTCATTAACCTGTATGCCCTTGTTTTACAGTTGAAGAAAGTTAAGGAATTGCCTGATGCCATATCATTGATTAGTAGCATAGGCAAAGACTATAATATAGCAAGCCAAACAATGATTTTACTTATTTTCATACAACAGTTTCTCTCCAGAGGCTTGCTCTTAAATCACATATATAAGGATTTTAAAATATTAAGTTTAGGATGCGTTTCACATGAAGAAACTGGTTGACAGTTTACATATACATGTATAATCACTGGGAGAAATGGCAAGAAATTTCATTAGGTGCTCAACTAAATAAGACCTCATTTAAACAATGATTTCACGAGCACCTTCAAAATTCCAATATAAACTTACCCATGAGTTAAGAAATAAACTGCTTCATTTCTAGAGAATTAACTGTCTTTAAGTCAGTGAAACATAATTTATCTAATGTTACTTTAGTGTCCTGACAATTTAATTTATCCCTACTTACCAGTAAGAACAGGTCTATGAATTACTTTAGTAATTGCCCAAGAGGATAAAAAGGCCAATGTAGAATACATTTATATATATTAATATATAAGATTTTTAGTGAAAAACTCAAAATCGGAGGAAAAATAATCTCATATTTTTGAAGTAAGGACAAGCCATTTTAAATTAAAATCTAATTTAAAAGAAACAGATGTTAGCAAAGCTAAGTTTTAAGTGCAAGCATATTTCATCCTAATTTACCATGGGCTACAGAAAACTGAGATAATTAGTCAGGATGAAATCTTATGTATTTGAAATTTCCCCCAATATTATACTTTGTTTTCCTGCATGTTTTCTCGCTCCAATATTAATCATAAAATATTTTATAGTCAAACTAAATGATCACAGAATGTGACAAATAAAGAGTGCTTTGAAGTTCTTGGATGAAAAGCTCTGTGTTAGCACAACACATTATTAGTTCCATAAATACCAAATAATTTAAAAGGGAAAGTCACTTCATATGGAGAATAGACAATATTTTAAAGTTGTTATGAATCATGAAATTCTTAATGTCAAGGATACCTTTGTCTTATATTTTCTGACCAGTCTTATAATTAAGCCCTTTCCTATATCCCCCTTAGTGGGACAATGAAATAAGTGATGTTTTGGGGGATGGACATCAGAATACAAAAAAACAACTGCATTGATCTTAATTACTCAGTTTTCTTCCTGGCAACAGACCCAGGAGGACTGTTTTTGCAGTGGGATAGACTTTAATTGGTAGATTCAATCCCTCTGACTAGTTCATCAGATATCCATTACAAAATTTAAATGCACTGTCTATAATCCAGTGTTCAGTATATCAGCTTGTCTGAGAGTGTGCATATATTTCTTAAGGTGATAGAAAGCCCTTTCCTATATCCCCCTTGGTGGGACAATGAAATAAGTGATGTTTTGGGGGATGGACATCAGAATACAAAAAAAAACTGCATTGATCTTAATTACTCAGTCTTCTTCCTGGCAACAGACCCAGGAGGACTATTTTTGCAGTGGGACAGACTTTAATTGGTAGATTCAATCCCTCTGACTAGTTCATCAGATATCCATTACAAAATTTAAATGCACTGTCTATAATCCAGTGTTCAGTGTATCAGCTTGTTTGAGAGTGTGCATATATTTCTTAAGGTGATAGAAGCAAGGTCAAGCTACTCCTTCTCTTTAGTCCCATCCGAAAGAAGTAAAGGAAGAATTTAGTGACTTGGACATCACTGGTTTTCAAATATTCTATGCAATATAGTGTTCAGGATCTTGTAGTGAAACACTTTTTGCCTGAACTACCAGAATGTTCCACTAAGCCAAGGCAAGTTCTGACTGGAAAACGCATACTGAACATCCATTTATCAATTAGGCCTGTTTCTCCTTTATTAAATTTGGCTTCAGGATTTGGGCACCTAGAATGGTGAAAAGCATCTGGCAATAGCAGAAAAATTAAACTAAGAACAGTTCTTAGAAATCCTTGTAGCCTGATTATTATAGCCATAAGCAAGAGTTTTCATTGTCTCTGAAAGGAGGAACAAGTGGTATTTATGCTAAAGTTTAATGTTTGCAATCCTGATTGCTTTCCTATATGGCCACTTCTTAAAGTCTTCTGAACAAAGTTCTCCAGCTTAATATACCTGAAAATCTTTTTAGTGTTGATATTAGTTTGGAAAATTGGTTATATGAAGCTGGTTAATATATGCTCCTGTTACGTTTCACAGAATATGATTAGAACAAGAGTGTATATAAATCCTTGTAATAACATACTGGTTTGTGCCAGTCATTTGTTTTGCTGAAACTCTGCAGGACAATTTCCTTTCTAGTATGCATTTTGCATTCTATTATGCAAAAGAAAACTATTGGAGTGGAGTACTAAGTAAGTAAATGTAAAAGTGTACATCTTGGAAGGCAGGAGTAAGGAGTTAGTAAGGAGTTTGTTATGTGTGAAGCGCTGTGCTAAGTTTGACATTTTATGTAACACTTAATTCTCATTAAAACCCATATGAGGCAGGCAGATTACTTCCTTTTTACAGATGAGGAAACCGAGGATCAGAGAGATTAAAAAAACAAAAACCTTTTAAACCAATTTTACAAAAGAGAAAATCGGAATATCTACCTAGAGCTTCCTGGAGGATCTGAAGCTCACATCTTTTTCAAAACAAAATGCTACCTCAAACATAAGCAGTTTTCTATGGGAAGTGTAATAGAAACTGCTTCTTCCAGGATTGTATTTAGAACTTGAGATATGAACATTGAAGTTTATGTTTAATTACATTTCATACATTATTTTCAAATGTTTTAAGAAAAAGGGGACTTATTTCAGATGATTTTATTTGAATTTTTCTACAGAAAAAAATAGGATTTGATATGCATGAATTCTTAAAGCTTAATTTAAACAAACCCTAAAACGAAAAATTTGCAAGTTGTATATTTTGCAATTGTCAATAACTCTATTTGAAAGAGCATTTCCATGGAGACCTCATTATAAGTAAGAGTTTATGCTTTACTGAATATTCTCTAAGAATAGAGTATTCATATGTCTAATTCTGTCATAAATGTATATGGAAGAGATTTATAGGCTTAGCTTATTCTTTCGTTTTTTCAGACCTGTTCATTATTACAGCTCAAGTTTTGCTGCATGAAATCTTCATTCATATTGGAAACATACTCTGTTAAAAAGCATTTGTTCAGTAAGATTTCATTATAATCTAAAATGAGTGCAGAATTGAAAAGTAAATTACTATCATACTTTTAAATGATTTGGTCCTCAGTTTGGGAAGAACGGCTTCTGAAATATGACATAGTTAATGATAATGCTGCACTTCCACTCACTGTCATAATTCATAACAAAAACAGGGTGAAAACTGATTTCAAAAATAATAAACACACACCCATGAGAGCTTAGACTCGTTCCTTTGTATAGTTAATGCATGGTAGATTGATTGGTTTAATGGTCTCTATTCTTTACCCTTTCCTGTAGACACTATATTTGCCATGTGACTTTGCAGTTTCTGGCACCACGGAGTTACAGTCTATTTCCCCACTTCTTGAACTTGGGCTCACCTTATGCTGTCCTTTGGCCACTGTAAGGATAGCAAATGGGATACAAGCAGAAAGCACTTACACATTTTGCTTACTTGCCTTTGCTCATCGCTATGACAACAAGCTCAGGCTGTCCTGCTTCATGATGAGAGGCAACCATGGACCAGAGCTGAGTTGCTCCACTTATGTCATCTGAGGCATTACTAGCTCCAGATGACTCCCCCTGTGACCACTCCACCTCTGCCATATACACATATGAGTGAGCCCTGCCCAAGTCAGCCAAACTTAACCCAGATCAGCTTACCCTGATAGATTCATGAGCTAAATACATTTTCATTGTTGTCTGCTGCTGAGTTTCATGGTTGTATACAATGCCACATTACTGTGGCAATATCTAAATTATATACCATGTCTCCTCTTTTTTTTTTTTTTGTTTCGAAGGATATAAGTGGGGATTTGCAATTAGGGATCGAGTACCTCTTAATAGAATATACTTTCTATTTTTAAATTAAAAAATGGCCCATGAGCATATTTTTAAGTTTAGGTTCACACTAAATTACCATTAACGTCTACTATGTTTCTGGCATTGTGCTAGGAACTTCCAACCATAAGTAGTTCAAAAGATAATGTCTGAAACTATTTGAGCAACAAAATAGAGTAGTAATGGACTATAATTCATAGTATAAAATAATATCCATATTCATGAGTCCATACTGATAGGATGATTAAATACATTTTAAAATGGAAGATAATAGATAAGTCTCTCATGCAGAGCATAAATCCAAACAATTTAAGTAAATGCTCCACACTCAAAAGGGTGGAGGATAAATATTCACTCCTTGGAAAAGCAGCTTCTGGAACATGAGGTGTGAGCTTTGCATAGTGACTTCCTTCTAAAGACCACAAAATGAAAAAAGGGAAGAAGCGTAACTTCATAGTGGAGAAATACGGCAACACCAACTTAGCCAGGGGATCAAGGACAGTAGTAAATCATGTTAACAGTAAGTACCCTTGATTTAATGTGATGAGAATGCCATTTTGCCTCTGTTGTTTTCCTCCCAAAACCCAATGACTGTTATCCCAATATTATCATAAGAAAAATGTCAGACAATTTCAAATAAAAAGACATTCTAGTAAATACCTGACCAATACCCCTCAAAACTGTCAAAATTATTTTTAAAAATGTAAAGTTTCAACAACTGTGACAGCCAAGAACTTAGAGACACGATGACTAAACATAAAGTGGTATGTAAATGTCACAGAAAAAGGACATTAGGTAAAAACTAAAAAAGAAAACTGAATAAAATATGAATTTTAGTTGATAATAATATATCAATATTATCTCAATTGTGATAAATGTACTATAAATATGATATTAATATAGAAGAAAGTGGGTATAAAGTATAAGGAAACTCTGTACTAGTTTTACAACTTTTCTATACATTTAAAAATATTCCAAAATTAAATTTCTATTTAAAAATATAGTGTCCATGAAAATGTGTTGATATATTGTGTGTTTATTAAAATTATCATACATTGCTCTACTGCATAGATTTAAAATTGTGCAGGACTGGTTATAAACAACCTTTTTGTTTATGTATTATTAATTTGTTTGTTTAACTTTCATTACTGAGTAAGGCTCTCTTGAACTTTCAAGCATAGCTTTAAAAAGTTCAAAAATTTATAATTTTCCAAGCATTACAATATAGAAATGAATTTTAACATATTGCTAATTTAATGTAGATCAATAATAAAACAGTACTATCTCATTTTTAAACATAAGTTTTGTAGGTGAAAATAATTCATTTTAATTCTAAAATGCATTTAAATGAATAGTTGCATACTATTTTAATGTAATTTTGAAAATAAAATGCAAGTTACATAATCAATTGGTGTTCATTACATTTTCTAAAATTATTGTTAAATATCACTTCTTGTCACATTTTCTCTGGAGAAGATTAAAGGTAGGGTCACAGGGATACCAGCTGTTTAAATACTCTTTTTGTTTATAGTGCTAGCTTAATAAATAACCAATTTGTTTAACAATTATAACCTTTATTCAGCTGAAAAGCTTTCATGGAGATCCCCTAGATGTGGAACATCATTTTTTAAATACCAGGTCATTACCTTTAATAATTTGATACTATAAATGTTCAAGCTAGTTCATATGCCTGTGACTTAAAAAATCAAAATATCCAATGGGCTTTGGTAAGCAGGTCTAAAAGATAAAGGAAGCAGGTGTAGAAGACATTTAATAAAACATGCTTCTCATTTTTATTCCTTTTCTGTTTGGTTTCTTGGGAATCTCTGTTTGACAGTGAACTCCAGTGTATTTGCTTTGGGCAGATGCTTTTATTCTGAGTCTACTGATGTGGCAACCAAAAGAAGGATGACAGAAAGTAAAGTTGAAACCTAATATTAAGTTTTAAAAGCAAAATAGATTTTTTGCAGATGGAATTTGAGTTTAAAAAATTTTAAATGGTGGCTTAATAATTATTATCTAAACAGGCATGATATGAAGGCATAGATTATTGATTCTGACCATAGGTTTTATAATGAATCACATTGTTTGATTTTTTTCCTGTAAAAAAGAATATCAAGAAAAATTCATTGACTGTGTTTCTTTTGTGCCCAATATGATGGTTTTATCAAAGGTTAATGGAGAATTGTAAGATACTAAGGCATAAAGATTAAGGATTCATTTTTTCTTTTTTAAAGGGCTTATTCATACCAATTCCAGGCTAGTAGCACCACATTGTTTTTCTTGCATGTCCTCACAACCACATTTTTCAGTTTTAATATAGTTTTCAATTTATTTACTTCAGTAGTATTGATCTAACTTTGCTTTGGATAATGGTTCACACAACAACTACCATGTTTCTATAGGAGAGGCAAATAGTGAACTTATTGAGAGATACATAAATACAGTGTTCTTGAATTACCTTTTGAAAGTGACAATTCTGAAATACTTACCAGAGGTCAGGACTGTAATGTCTATCTTTGCACTTTGCTCAATATCTAGTTTCCTCATTCATGAAATTGGCACAAAATTAAATAATAGTATTGTACTCATTTCTAGTATTTATAATATATCCATTATATATTTAAAAAATACGGAGTACTCAATCTCTTCCAGGGCCAGAAAAAAAGAAATATTATGATATATTAGAAAGATGAACTTTTAGAAAAATCTTTTCAAATTAGTGGTTTAGGGCTATAAGGGTGAAAATTAAAGTTGAAAGATAGAAAGAAAATTGTTGATGTGCATGATTTTCTTTTTAGGCTTTATTGTTTCCAGTCTGTTTAAACTTATGAGGATCACTGTTCTGTAAGAAGGATATTTTAACCCTGGAAAACATTTAGGTCAAAACATCTAAACTTCTAATTCTAAAATTGCATGATAATATTTACTCAGTCATGGGGTATTTACACAGGATATGAGAGTAGTGTGGTCCCAACAACACATAGCAACTCCCAGCCTTTGCAGAGATTCAAATATTTAGTTCAGATATTTCGTGATTACAAATGAATAATTAAAAAATAAATTAAACATTTTTTTTCTTTTTCAAAATTTTTGTGTGAGTAGGAGCCAAATATATATTACCTCAATCCAGCTTATTATTTCCTATTTTATTTAAAAAAGTATAATAGGTTTTCTCCAACCTTGAAATGATTTTTCTGGAAACTTTCTCTGTGTATCATTTAAAGGTGTTTTCCAATGGTAAGAACTTTGTGCATATAGTGGTTAGGTTTTCAGAAGAGCCTATGGAAGCCAAAGAAGAATATTAAAAAGCACAGGTGAGTTAGGTTATGCTGGGTGTATCTAAAAATCGGAGAAACTCTATGAACCCTCCCCGCCCCAAAGACACCCAAACTCTACCTACAATTTCACAGAGTAAAAAACATTGTACAGCTTATTTAGGGACTATTGGAAGCTCAGGGGTTAAGAGCCCTTGTCCTAGGCAAGGTGTCAGATGAGGGGAGGGGGTGGGTAGATGAAGAACACAGTGGATACTGAAAGAGACTAGAGCTTCCTGTCTTCAGATTCCTCTCTCTTTTCCTCCCCCTTTAAATGCTAGCTTCAGCCCATGGTGATGAAGCAGTGGGGACAGGGGGCCAGAAGTGGCAGCCATGGAAGTTTTAAGGCAATCTATGAGTTTGCCTTTCACTGCCAACTCTTCTTTCCTTTCTCTGCTTTTCAGCTGTTCTTCTTCCCTTCTTCTCTACCTCTTTATTACAGAGGAACAAAAGCAACAGTAGAGGTAGGGGCAACTGCAGCTTGTCAGGTAAAGAAGGAGCACAGGCAATGAGAGTCCTTTCCTAAAAGGGTGAGAGAGATTACCTTGCCTCTCATTCTGTTCTCCTAGTTCCCTGGCCTCCCTCTCTATATATACTCTCTTCTTCCTGTGTTTTCTTTCTCTCCATTTTCACCCTGGGCATGGGATTTCTAAGAACCGAAGATACTTCTTTGAAAAGGGTAAGCAGTGGTGACAATAAGGAAAAGATTTCCTTTTTTTCCCCTTCCTTCCCCACTCCTTAAAAATCCCTTCTCCTAGGACAGAACAGTCCCACTTGGCTTGAGGAAGACAGATGAATTTCCATGTCTCCCCAGAAGGATCATTGTATATAAAGTACAAGACTGCCTATATTTTGTTAAGTTGTGCTTTTATTTAATCAATAATAAAAAAAATTGAAAATAAGTTTAAAAATTGTTTCCTATGATTCCTTTTTGTTGTTTTTTTGGGAGGTGGGGGCAATCATAGCCATACTTATGTCCAAAGGAACAATATAAATATTGTTAAGTACTGTTAAGTATTCCTAGTTGCATAGGAAGTTAACAATCTAATTTGCATAAATGGAAAGCAAGTTCGTTGCTTTTCCTCATGTCAGAATACTGAGGGGCTTCTTTGTGAAAAACACTTGTAGAGATATTTGTCAACGAGTACAAATCTACAGTAAGATAGGAGGGATAAGGTCTGGTAGTCTATTGCACAGCAGGATGACTACTATGATATATAATACAATAATGTATTCCATATTTTAAAATAGCTAGAAGAGACTTTTTTAATATTCTCATCATAAAGAAACTATAAATGTTAAAGTCATGGCTATGTTAATTACCCTGATTTGATCATTACAAAATTTATACATTTATCAAAACATCACATTTTGCCATAAATATGGTACATACCATAAATATGTACAATTGTTATATGTACATTTTAAAGAATATAATAATGTTTTATTTCCAAGATATTATTAAAAGAACCTAGGTACCAACAACCTTAAAAATACAATTAATATAGAAATGTGATTCTTTTGATTTGACACTAGGTAAAAAGATCATTTAATTTAACCTTCTAATTTTACCAGTTAGAACACTAAGGCCCAGAGAGCTTAGATGACTTGTCCTAGGTCACTCAGCAAGTTAAAGTCACTAAATATAGTTTGAAAAATACCCTGACTCTCACTCAAATTAAGTGTCCAATTCACAACTTTAACATGTGAAACATAGACTAGACAAAATGGGAAAAATAAAGCTTAGTTTTGCTGTGACCTAAAGCTAGCATTTCCTTCTACTGAAGGGATAGGTCTCCCATGAAAACTAAGAATATACATGAAATCATGTAAGCATCTCCATTTGAAAGAGCGCCTGTTCGCTCTTTAAGAGAGGAACAAATCACCAACCACATAGCCAGTTAGGTAAAGATTATTGCACAAGTTTTGAAAAAATATTTTGCCCTTTTAATGATCATGTGATTGATACCCCAACTCTACAGAATCTACTCCACTTTAAAGTAAAAAAAAAAAAAATTAAAAATATGCCAGTGAAAATCCCTAGTAGCAGCCGTATTAATATTTTTGCTACATACATATTAGTGACTATTTAATTTATGCCTACTTGTTATAAGGTTCTGCATGGTACATTTAAAACATAAGCTTACAGTTAATCAGAAGCTAATTAAAAACTTTCCACTATAATTTTCTGTGCATGCTTTCATCTGTAGTTTTACAGGAGTAATTATATGATTTTTACAGTGCAATCTATTTAATTTTTGTGATAAATTATTTTTTAAATCATTGCTGGAGAATGAAAATCGTTTCTCCGGGATCAGAAGTGTGTAGCAAAGGCAAAAAGCATAAGACATCTCCAATGCCCAATGCAGGAGTCTCCTTTGAAAGACTGAGAGGTTCCACTCTGGACAATGAGGAAATTTTGCCTCCCCTGCCCTGCTCAAGCCTAGGTATATAACATACACACAGGCGCACACACAGAGCAAATAGAACCAATGTGTCATCAAACATATGAGGCACAGCATAACCTCAAGTAAATAAAATAATTTTTCATAGAGACTCACACTTATGCTAAAAGAACTATAAAAGAATTCAATAATAATGAAGTACAAAACAAGATTTCGAAGGTTCTGAATTTTACAACTGATAACTCTGTTGTTAAGACAACCTGAGGCATCTTTGAGCCCTATTCTCCTCATCTGTAGAATGAGAATCAAAATAGCTAAATGGCACTCATAGGTTGGAGGCAGTATAGTGAAATTGAGAGTAAGGACCTTCATGCAAAACACCCCAGAGTTCAAGTTCTAGTTCTACCACTTACTGCATGGTGCTAAACACAAGGGCAGACACATAGCATGTATTCCATTTTGATTTATTTACTAGGTGAAGGAGGCCAATCTCTCAAGTCAGAAAGTAAGGTACTCTTTCCCCTTATTCACCTATTATAGTCTATCAACGTATCATTTGTTTCTTATAAATATCTATGGTTTTCTGGACATGGTTTTATTAACCGACACCATTTTAGTCTGGCTGTGTGACCTCACACCTAGATTCCTACAAAATCATCCTCACTTGTCTTGCTAATCTTGTCCCCTTCCAAACAGATTTATCTTTTCCTGCCATCTTAAGACATACCTAAATATAATCAATGTCTTCAAATGTCAACCTCAGCAAATTCCTATTATAATGCCTGTCTTTTCAGATTGTCTTTAAACTGGCCATCCAACTATTCAACATTACCTACCCACAACTCTAAAATCAAGAGGGGTAAATTCTCAGTAGACCACCATGAAACATTCTGATTTCAACACCAATATGCTTATGCTCACAATATTTATTTTGCCTGAAATGTCCTGTCATCAATGTAATGGAAAGAACATGATTTTGAAATTCGGACTATTCTAAGAGTTCATCTGAATTCTGGAATTTCTTAGACGTATAATTTAGGATAGCATGGCTCCTTGCAAAATGAGAATAATAATAATTACCCAACAGGCTTATTGTGAGGATTAAATGAGAATACAGTAATTAATAGTATCTAGGATTTGATACCATAACATGGCTCAGGCTTCATTTTATTCTTTACATATGTTTTTATGTATTTGATACCCACAAAAACCCTACAAAGTAGATACAATTTCTCAGACACAAGGAAATTACAAAATGGAGAGCTGAAGTAAATTCCTAATAAATAATATCTGGCTTCTAACCTGACAATTTTAACCACTAAAAAACCCCACATATCTAGAATAGTGTACATGGCACATGTACCAAAAATGTTAGTGAATGAATGAGTAATCTGAAATGTTAATGAAAATATACATTAAAAACATACTAGTTAGATGTCCCCCAAACTATTCAAATAAGGGTAGCTTATTTAATTCAAGACAGAATAGTCATCATGAATCTAAGTTACTGACTATATGATTAGGCTCTTTTCTCTAGCTGTGTTTCTCTTCTGTAAAATGTGTGTGAACTTTCAACTACAAGCTCAAGAGTTTGTTAAAGTGGTGATTGCTTTGAACTTTAAATACTGAGTTCCTTATGTTATAGAATGAGAAAACATCAATTTGTAGAATAAAATGACAGATGTGTGTGTATAAATTTCTAGCGAAATATTTGCAAGTGTTGCGTTACAAACTCAAAGAATTTAATACTCATCTAAAAGAAATCTTGGTCATTAAAGAAACAAACAGAGTCCTGGAGGAGAATTAGGCAGAAACACATTGAACAGAATTTCAGGAAGACCTGATTATATGATGTTTTCTTTTTTTTTTTTTTCCCTGAAAGAACAGATGTTAAAAAAAAATGCCTAGTAGCTATGATTAACTATTACCCAAAGTTAAAGAATTATTCAATATTAAATTTCTAGGATAACTGATTAAGCCTAATGTTAAGTCATTGGCCCTGTTTGTTCTGCGCCAAAAGAATCTGTACTCAAATGAGACGCCATAGACATGATAACAGTCATTTGTCACAATATTTATTGTTTTCATAAGCCCTGAAAAAGTGCATCAGATATTTTTATTGAATAGTGGGAGGGAGAGGATTTCTCAAAGAACCAAGGATATTATAGTAGTGAACTAAAGACATTATAATATAATGTTTATAATAAATTATTGCAATAAAACTCTTACTCTAAAGACTTTGATTCACCATCTACATTACAGGAATGCATCTCTTATAAAAAATTTCTATTTCATCTTGCTCTTTCAAACAATGTACTTGTGACCAGCTGTTTCTTTCACTGCTAACAATGGGAACTTACATTAGAAGATTCCAGTAAAATTATATGACATAACTATACATTATGTTGTAAAATGGGATAGCTACTGTATTTTCAAGGCCGAACTAGTACAACTGATAGTTATGAGTGTAATCATTTCTGAAAAGCATGTTCAGTTGTTCAACTATGTCATTCCCCAGAGTAATGACTACACTTTCCTTCTGTCCATTAATGCTTTTCCTCACTCAAACATTTTGTATCCCACTGACTCTTCAGGAAGAGGTTGGAGAATAAGTTCATCTGGCATAATTTCATTATTATCAGTGGCTTGAACACAAGTTGTTAGAAAAAGCTGTTCTATCTTATTATTATTGAATGTTCTGCTCCGTAATACAACAAAGAAATCCAATACTGTACCATAATGACAACATTTAGCATGTTGCACACATTAAATGATTACAACAGCGCCATAAATTAAGGAAAGGCACTATTTTCTCCATTTATCTTTGTGGTCTGGAAGAGTACACTTTTTTGCCCAAGGCTATAAAATATCTCAGGGGCAATGCAAAAAATCAGAAACTTTAATTGGCAATTGGCATACAAAAAGTGCATTAGTTCAGATAAAAATCCAGGAGTAAAAAAAAATTTCTGCCTGAATGCATTACCAGTACCACTGGAAATAATGTTGGAATCATTAGTTGTTTTAAAGTACTTTTATCCAGTCATTATATGAAAAAGACATGTGCACAGGTATGTTTATAGCAGCACAATTCACAATTACAAGGATATGGAACCACCCTAAGTGCCTATCGACCCATGAATGGATAAAGGAAATGTGGTATATATATACTATGGAATATTACTCACCCACAGAAAGCAACGTAAAAATGTTTTTACTAGCAACTTGGAAGAAGCCAGAGGCCATTATTCTAAATGAAGTCACTCAGGAATGGAAACTCAAATACTGTATGTTCTCACTTATAAGTGGGAGCTAAGCTGTGAGTATGCAAAAGCATACAGAGTGATATAATGGACCCTGAAGACTCCAAGTGGGAAAATTGGGAGTGGGTTGTGGGATAAAAAACTACATATTGGGTACAATAAACACTACTTGGCTGACTGGTTCACTAAAATCTCAGAATTCACCTATGTAACTCACCCATGTAAAAAAAAGAAAACTTGTACCCCAAAAGATATTGAAGTTAAAAAAAAAATTAAAAACCTCAAGAAAAGTATTTTCATCTTAAAGAGGCTAAAATTGTTCAACACTGAGACCCCAGAAGTGGAACAAAATGTTTTAATCTCATCAAAGTTTTGACTCAAGAATGAACAAAATTCTTTTAGAAATTTTCTTAACTACAGTGCTTCTTCTTGAGAGATCCACTTTGAATGCCATGGATTGGTCACAGCTGTGGAACCTAGGATTTCTATGGGTGACAAGTCTTAATCCACATTTCAGGGTAGTTCTTTTCTATCAGAACCATTTCCTTCTTAAGCCTTTATCAGAATAGAACAGGCTGAGGAAAAGACTAGATATAATTAAAAGTAATCTATTTGTCTTCTTTTTTTAAAAATAGAGAATTCTTTAAATTACCAATTTTGTTGGCATTTATAATAAATGTTTATTATGAATTGAATATGTGGTCATTGAAATTTGGTATTATCAGTGTTACGTTCATCACAAAGAATTAAATTGCTATGGACCACAAAAGAACCATAGCACAAACACAATTCTCCTTTTCTATCAAGGCTGCAATTTATCTCCTCATTTCTATATGTTTCCCTCTTATATTTAATTCAATCAGACAGACAATTGGTGGTGATTATTAACTGTGTAAATGGAACCACTTGCTCATTCTCTCTGAACCTATTTGTTCATCTCTACAAAAAAATTAACAACTCTTACCTGAGAGGGTTATTACTACTATTAAAAAAGTAGTATAAGGAAAACATCTAACTCCTAAAAACAGTGCTTTAAGTACTGCCTGAGGAATAAAAAGAAATATTTACTATAGATCATTTTCTCACAGGTTACCAATGCTTAAAAAAAGTTGCCCCGGAGTTAACTTTTTACCAATCCATCATTGATTTCCTTGCTTAAAATACAACCAAACTGTGTCTAAGCCCTTGAATACTCTTCCTCAGAGATTACAAATCTCCCTCTTTTTACTTTCCTCTCTTCAGTAAATATACCTTCTGCACCTCCACCAAGATATGTTGTTCACTCATTTTTGTTCCCATAGCAATATCTCCATTATAACCCTCAATCTCTGTGCATTATAATTAGGTGTAAATATGCCTGTCATCTGTGCTACTCTGTGAAACAAAGAAAAGTTGGTTCTTATTTGTCTCTAGATCTTTAGAAGCTGGTAGCTGCCTGGAACATGGTAGACTTTCTCTAAATGGTGGCTGAACTGACTGGACCAGGAGTGGCATTAATAAATGTCCTGTGAGCTAAGGAAGATATTATGACAAAAGTTATTCTTTGATAGGACACATAATTTCCAAAATTCAGTAATATAATTCCAAATAATCTCATCTAGCAAAGCAATTCATTCAGCTTCATTTTCTAATTAGCATATTTTGGCTGAAGTTTAGATGCAGCATTTCTTCACAGTAACATTCTCAGAGGCAAAGTTGGGTTCATTTTTAGTAGATACCAGTGTGCAGAACCTGTCATTTTCTTTAAAAAGAAAAACATTGAAATGTGTTCAGTGCCTACATAAGTAATGTTCTTTATTTCATTTGCAGAATTCTATATTAAAAATACTGAGAAGACCATTTTTTTAATAAAGGTGTAGAAGACAGGGATAAAGAGAGAAAGGAAGAGAGAGAGGAAGAGGAACATCAAAGGGTGGCTCTTTTCGAGATGTTAGATAAGGCAACCATCTCTCTATGGTAAAATTGAAATACTACCTTTTAGAAAAAAATTTTAAGTGTTTTATATTTGCTATTTTTTTGACTTTAAAATATGAAGTAACATTTGCAATTCTGCAAAAATTCCAAAACGGTTTTTTTATTTGTGCTTGTATATATAAAAAGTCTTTATCTCTTTCTCTGACTCACCCGTCTTCCATCTATATATCCAGATAGAACCGTGAAGCTAGCTGTGCCAGGCACACAGTAGGCACTCAACAAATATTCATGTTGGCAGATGGAAATGAATTATATGTTTATTATTTGACCTTCTTCAGAATGTGAATCATGTGATATTATAATTACTTGTATGTCACTATTATTCATTCTCCAGGGAAATTTAATTTCTTATAACCACCTGCTTATTTTGGCCACAACAAACTGTTAAGTTTCAGATAAGCAGCAGCTACTTCAATTGGAAAAATAAGACTCCTTTGGGACAACTAATACTTTCTAGTCTGCCATATTTTTAAAAAATTCCCTATGGGAAATTTTTCTGTTTCAAGGCTTAACAAAATTTTGCTCTTTATATTCATTTTCCTTCTTTGTCCCTGGACTTTCCCTGTCAAAATGACTGTTGAAACATCGTGCAGTTGCTATGTTCTCTGCAATGCAGTTTGGCGTATCACCTCTACCAGCTGTCAAGGTGAATGCAGTTTAGCCCTTTCTTGATGTACTTCCTCATTTTCCCATTAGTGCTCTAGAACCATTAGTGTTTCCCTGACTTTTGTTCTTTGTTTTCACTTTTATTAGTTATGTCTTATATAGTCAGAATGTACCTGTTTCTACACTATTTTCTCAAATGCAGCAATGAAAAGAAGTGGCGTCAATCTGAACGTGACTCAGAAATCAAGTCGTCTATTTAACTTATAGACATTCCAGAATTATTCTTTAAATTCAATTCCTTTGGCCTCACTGTAGAGTTTCAGGAAGTAGATGAAGAGAACCTAACTTTAAACTATAATACTACATTATTTTTAAATTATGGGGGAATTTATTATTTTGTATACATAGGTATTATATAATAATTTTTATCCTATATAATACAGCATCTTCTTCTAACAAGCTATAAAAATCAGAGACCCCATAGATGCAGTTGTATCTGGAGGCAAAGGAAAATGATATCTAAAGAAAGTAGGATGTATCAATTGCTCAAATAAAGCACAGAAAATGGGATTTGATAAGGAAGGTTTATTTGTAAGAAAGAAAGAAAATGGTAGAAATGAAAGAGTAGGAAGATAAGAAATTCGGTGAAATGTTTTGGGGTTTGGTGTGAAAGTAACAGAATTTGTGACCAGAAGTCTTTTTTTTTCTACAGTGAATATCTGGAAAACTCTAGAACCTGAAGATAAAATTGAAGATCTATAGTATCAATCACTGCTTTTGCTCTATATTTTTAAAAGCATATTTCACCCCTCATTTTACTTTGGTCATAGTCTTCTGATGTAAACACCCCACTACCCCAATTTCTGAGGGAAATGCATCAAATTAACTTAGTGGCAAGACAAAACAATACAAAATGACACACACCAAGAGAAAAACATAACCCAATTCTTCAACCATTACAATCCTCCATTTTAGAACACGTTACTCTACTAAGTGAATTTGAACTGTCATTAACTGTTTTTTTTTTCTTTGCTTTAAATCTCATGGTAGTAAAAACTGATTGAAAGAGGCACATCTGCTTGATCTCAGATTCAGGAAGAAATAGTGCCATACTCAACCTCTCAGTTGTTTCTTAATACAGAATTAACTTCAAAGCTTTTAAGAATTTAAATTCTTACTCCAATGCTAACCAACACACACAGTACCCCATGTGAAAAACTGAAATCTAATTTAAAAATGGACAGCTGGTGAAGATTGCATTTTAATATTCCTAAAACCAAAAGAGTTACCTCTTCAATGCCTTTGTTCTGTTTTCCTTTACATATCAAGTAAGAGACATTTTAAAAATACACAAGATTTTCATTAGAGCTTATACTTGGTGAATTTAAAGGCCTTTGTAAGAAAGACCACAGCCATATATTAGTAGGAGGAAATGAGAATGTAACGAATTTTTTACTCAGGGTGAGTCAGCATCAATGTACTACATAATCACATCCCTCAAATCAATCAGCAAAAGGACAATTCTTTTTTCTGATACTTTTACCTTTAGATCACTGCATCTCCTCCTCAGATTATAGCCAAAAAAAAAGAATATTCATTTTTGAAAAAAAGGGGCAGTAAGTCCTCCATTTCTAGGGACACTAAAATGGTTTGTCATCAATCACTCCAAGAATATTGACAAGAGGGACCAAATTATCTTCTGTATGTCCTAAGAGAAGATACAATAAAATGGCATGAATGCTTTACACTATTCAATGTTAATACTACTACTTTGGAAGAACAACTTTATAAATGAAAAAAAAGAGGAAGTAAAATTTATAGAAAATATATTCTATGTTAAGTGCTTTACCCATGTTTCCTTATTTTACTCTTACAAGAATAATGAGGAGACTATAATTATCTTACAATTTCCTGACTGAAACAAAACAAAATCAAAGAAACAAGGCTAAAGAATTTGTTCAAAGTACCAGAGGTAGCAAGTGGCCGCGCTGGGATTTGAGCTTAGGTTTGAATGGTTAACAAAGCCTAGCATCTTCTCACTATAGTTTATTCATCTCATTCAACAATTATTTATATAATATATATAATACAAAATATCTATTTTTCATCTATGTTATATATACTTGGACCAAACTGATGAAAACAATGAAATTGTCTCTATTTTCAAGGAACTTAAAAATTAAATAGCAGACCCTGAATAAGAGAATACAACACAGAGAATGTAGTGTAAAAGTATAAAATTCTAGAAATTTTAATAAGTCAGCAGTGGGGTGAAATGGAAAGATATCAGGAAAGCTTCTGGAAAAAAGTCACTAGACTTGAAGAGTAAGTTTACCCAGGCGACATAAGAGCCTTCCTGGAAGAGGAAATGGGGTGTGTGAATGTCTCGGGTGGAAGTGGGGCTGGGAGACATTTTTGAAAATAAGGAAAGTTCAGAAAAGCCAAAGCTTGAGTACAAAGGTGATAAAGAGGAGATGAATGGCACAGGGGAATTAGGCAAAGGACATGTCATGCTGGGCTTTTATTATAGCTCATATCAAGGATTTTAGACTTCATATTAGAAGTTATGAGAGGCTACTGAGACATTTTAAGTAAGAGGTAACATGATCAGACTTAAATATTCCAAAATTCTCTCCAGCTCTATTATGAGTATGAATTGCACAGTATGCAAGGGAAATGTAGGGAGATGAGTTAGCTATTGCAGTAATTCAAGGAATTATGAAAATGAATTATATCTAATTTATTAACATTTATCAGTAATTCAAGGAAGAAGTTATCAGTAATTCAAGGAAGAAATGATGGTGGCTTGAACTTAAGAATACGGCAATGCATAGAAATAAGATGAGTGAAGATGTGTCAATGATAATTCAGGACATTGGTCTAAAAATTGGTCGAATGGTGGTAACATTTATCAAGAATGGGAACACAGGATGAGGAGCAATACGGAGCAATTGCATAATAACGGTTACTATTATCAATAATAATAATATGCAATTGCTGAACTATTACTGTGATCCATAAACTGAGCTAAGTATATTATATGTATTATTTATGGTGTGATTTTATATATAATTTTCTCACAACAATGCTCTGAAGCAATTATTCTTATTATCACAATTTTATAAGTAGAAAAATTAAGAACTGAAAAGTTTAGTAAATTGACCAATATCACATAGCTGGAATGTAGCAATGCCAACTATATAGGGTGTATTAAAAGAGTGTTAAGGAGATATTAAATGTTACATTTGGAAAAACACAGCTTCAGGCACATTAAAGTCTTCCCTTAAGGGTATAAAGTCTTACAGAGACATCCTAATGACTAAGTATCCTTCAATGTAAACAGTGATAAGGAGAGTCTTATCCTTAAGACTTATCCTTATCCTTAAGAGAAAGAACAAAGTCAAGTTGAGAATGACAGATGCAGCAAAGAATCAGGAGCCAGATAGAAGCTAATAAAAATGGGCTGAATTTGGGGACAAGGAGAGAGTTGCAAGACTGCCCCAAAGAGCTTTATCCAGCATATCTGGTTTGTCTTAGCAAATAAATTGCGCATGTCATACCTGGTTGCCTTAAATTATAGAGATACAATGGAGAATGTCAATTTGAAAAGCCAAAAACAAAATAATAAACTTTCTTTAGGCCCCAAAATATTTTAGTTTCTATATGTTTTAACTATACAAGCTACATATAGCATGACAGCAAAGCCTAGAAAATAAATTATCTTTGTAAAGTGTAATGATATTCATTTATGGTTGCATCAAAGCAAGCCACTAGCAAAAGTATAATGAACATAATATTTTGACATAAATCTGTGGAGGTAACTTGAAAAGAAAGAGGGCACAGAAAGAAAACAAATATTTTAGGAAAAATATATCACTTTAACAGAAATAAATAAAAGGTTATCGATTCAAAAAAACTAATTTATGTGTGACCAATTTGATGCAACATGCTCATTGTTATGGTTTCCAGAAGAGAACCAATAAATGTTTCTTTGGCTGATATTAATGTGGCCTTGGGGCTGATCATCAGGTTGTTTTCCTTTAAAAGAAAGCTGTTGTCAGTGGACAGAAATGTTTATTTCCTATGCAAAAGCTAATGCTGGGGATTTATTATTTGTTGATCTCAGCTTATCTTCTACTTTACACAATTTTTGCATGTCTTTTATTTGCTGGGCTTCCAAAGACAGCATGGACGCATCTATAAGATTTATTTGTATCAGGAAAACCATATGTTCCATACTTGTTCTTTTTGAGGCACTTCGTCTCAACTAATTAATCCTTAAAACTCTCTGAGACCAAAGGGATGAAAGCAAGTAATTATGTTTACAGAGAAAGCAAATTGAGGTACCTTTCCTGGAGTCTTTCAGTAAATAAGCACGGGAAAATGGACATCTATCAACTCTTCCAACATGTGCTCTAAAAAGGACTACGCTGCATGTTCAGGCTGCTAGACTTACAAGTCATTCGAAACACTGTTTAACAGAGGAGGCCAAACTATCCAGGCTGACATAGATCTCTTGAGTCAGCTCTATTTTCACAGCTGAGGCTCTAGGTCAGACGATATCTGCTTTTTCCCCTTATCTTCACATTAGCTTCCTAAATGCTCTCCCAGCTTTAAACTCACTCTCTGCAGACATATCTTAAACAATGGCATCAGGGTTATCTTTCTCAAATAAAAATTGGGTTTTTTCATTTCCTTGGTCAAAAGCCTTTGATGTATTCCCAATATATACAAAATAAGATCACACACCTTGGCCTAGAATTCAAGTCCTTCTTCAATATAATTATAAGTTATGCTTTTAAAATTTATGTCCCCCTATATTCTGACCCTTAGCTCATTTTTCACAAATAAACATAACTGCACATACATATAAGCACACCAGCACCCTACATTTCAGTACCCTGAACATGCTCTGAGCTTTCTCAAATCCAAGTCTTTCTTTGTTCATGCTGTTTTCTAGAGAGCGTTTAAACTTCATAGCAGCCTCCTCTTCCTTTCTAGGTCACTTGCATAAGGAGGCGTTCCAATTCACTCCATTCAGACAATCCTGTATTCCTATTCTATCTCACAGTTTCCTATTCTATCTCACAGTACTTTATTTTTGTTTGTTTGTTTTTGAGGCAGGGTCTTGCTCTGTTACCCAGGCTGAAGTGCAGTGGCATGATCTTGGCTCACTGAACCTCCATCTTCTGGGCTCATACAATCCTCCCACCTCAGCCTCCTGAGTTCCTAGGACCATAGGTGCGCAGCACCACACCTGGCTAATTTCTGCATTTTTTTTTTTTTTTGTAAGATGGAATTTCATCATTCCATCGGTTTTGCCCAGACTGGTGGCAAACTCCTGGGCTCAGGATATCCGCCAGCCTCAGCCTCCCAAAGTGCTGGGAATACAGGTATGAGCCACTGCACTCGACCATTTATGCATTTCTTCATATACTTTTACTGACAACCGTAAATTAACCTCTGTGTTTCTGTCAATCACTGGATTTTAAGTCACTAAGTAGCAGAACTATATCTAATTTATTAACATTCATCATCCCCCTTTGCCAGCATTGAACATGATGTTTTGCATATAGTAGGCATTAAATTTGCTAAATGGAACTAAATAATGTTTGATAAATAACATCATGGCACATGACCATATTAGGCCTAACTAATTATTTATTCTTCCATTTAGTGAGTGCAAAACTTTAGTCAAAAACATTAAACATACTATTTTCTAATTACCTTATTTTGCATTATTTAATTGAAAGAAAGTGTAATTAAAAGGAGGCCTCTAATGGACAAACACACATTGCAATAACAGCAGCTGTGGACACTTTACTTATTCAGTATTAAGTCTGTTCTATGTCAACTATGGAGATTCTTGACATTGTTACATCTGTACTTCCAAGCAACCTATTAGTTAGCTATCAATGATCTCATTTTACAGATTACAACTGAAGTTCAGAAATGGGCTAGGTGACTTATCCCACATCCATCTACTATGCACCAGAGGAGGAAGTAGATATCAAGTATGTTTGACTAGAGTCTGCGCATATTCTAGCCTACAGCACAATCACCCAGGTCTGTAAGATTGGAAAGATGTGCAAATGTGTAGAGAGAAGATGGAGACACTATTTTCTATTCTTATTTACAAGAAAATGTATACAGAAATTTAACATCAGAAGAAATACTGTACAAATATACACATATAACCTAAACTATATGGTGTTATCACATGCATTTTAAATCATATATAATAATTACAAAATGTTATCTCCACTGACACCTATCAAACATCAGTCACTGTATGAAGCACTTAATTCACTAATTAATTTAATCCTCACAAGGGCACTGAGATAAATAATATCATTATTCACATTTTACAGTCGAAGAAATGGAGAACTTAGAGATGTTACTAACCTGTACAAGGTCACGTGTCACTATGCTAGTTGGTGGTAGAACTTTTGTTTAGAACTGGGTCTACCTGAATGGCAAGATATATTTCTTAACTACATGCACAAATTAATAGAACCCAAGCAAAACTTAAGCATCTAAAACTGTTAAATTTAGATAAATATTTAATCATGTTTTGTTTATTATATGATGAGTGATTTATCGGCACAATGTTTATGATCATTTCCTTTAAAATCTTTCCTTGAGAGAAATTCTATTTAATATTCCTATTAACACACCCATCAGTTCTTATTTTGTATCTAATATAAAATGTTAAGCCCTTTGGATGAACATTATGTATTTTGTATTTTTATTCACACATATTCCAAGTATTTTCCAAAATTAGGTGGCTAGGAAAACTTTTTCTTAAGTTAAACAAAACGTCATTTGCTTTCTCCTCATGTTGACTTCTGGGGCTCAATGTAAGTTGTTTTTCTTCTGAAGAGCATAACACTTAAAACTGTAAATCATCTCACGTGTAAAAGAAACAATATGACACTTTCAACATTCCGATTCTGAATTACAATTCTTCTACTTCCCAAACGCAAAAGTGCAAATACAAGATTAATAATTTGCATAAAATGAAGTCCATATGGATCGCTAATTTTACTAGATTTGAGTATAAAATTATTCTCCTTTATTTTACCTCTAACAGTGTTACAGTGAGAGGAATACATCTGCTTAAATTTCAAGTACTGCATTTCAAATTAATTATAATTATATAGCTCAAGTATTATCTATCATATCAGTTCACAATGAGAATAAAGCACATTTGTTTCTAATTCTTTTTGACCTTGATGTTCTTTGTTTCACCACAGTCTTCAAGGTTATTAAGACAGAATCCTGAAGGAAACCAATGTCCTAATTATTTGGACACATAGATCTATTCCTCCCATTCTAATATATTAAACATTTAAGAATTACTTTATAAAACCATAGACCTGAAAATGACTCTAGAGGTTTATCCCTTCTTTCTCAGGGTTTTACTTATAGCATTTTATCCTGATGCTATTAGTCCTGACATTAAATGCCTCTAGGGGAAAAGATTCTATTTCCTCCTTCAGCAACCTGTTTCAGTTCATAAAAATGCCCTTATCAGTATGAGATTTTTTTCGCCTTTGCTCCTGTTTACAACATAAATTTTTTATATGTGATTAAATCATTTCTTATACTTTTCATCTTTAGAATAAAAATATTCTCCTCCTTAATTTTAGGTTATACTTCTTTTCTAGGTTATGGGATCCTAAACACAGAGGACTGTAGAGCTTTCTCTGTGTTCTCTCCAACATCAGAAGCTATCTATGGCAGCAGGTGCCTAGTCACCTGAGGATTTCTGTTGTCTTTTAGGCTGGAAGAAGTCCTGTTCAGCTCTCTTCAAATGACTACACAGCATCTCTAAACTTTGAGCACTGCATATCTATTCTCCCTTTGTCCCTTTGCTCATTTTTGATGAATAATATTCTCATAGACAGTATTCCCTAAGATGGGAATTACCCGTGTTACAAAGAGCGTTATGAAAATTAAATGAATGGAAACGTGTAAAGAGGTTAGAACAGTGCCTGCCACATAGTAACAGTTAATAAAATGTTAGCTAATGCTCCTGATGCCATTGTTACTATTCCTATTATCCCAGCTGCTGCTGCTGCTACTACTACCACTTCCACTGCTACTATCACTGCTACTGCTATTTCTACTGCTACTTCTGCTGCTGTGGATGCTGCTACTATGCAATGAAAAATGTACTTTCTTTTACCAAGTGGGACATCCAGAAGTGAACTGGAATGCCTTAATATATTGAGGATAACCTCCTCCTAACTCCCAGCTCTTCTGAATTGCACAGTTGAGCTGGGTTCTCCCTGATCAAATGATCTCTAACACAATTATTATCCACTTTATAAAGATACTGCAGCAAATTTATACAGATCAGGGACTCTAGGATCTCTGGCCCTTCACTATTCCTGAGATCTTTCTGACAGTCTGTCATGTTGTAAGAGCTGCATTAATGTTTTTCCATTACCATTAATAATTGAAAGCTCATCTAATAGAAATATCTTTCAATATTATATGATGTTTAACAACTCCATTAATGGGTTAGGAGAAGTATGGTATACACAAGTATAGAAAATTCTAGGGATAAACCAAATATGGAATTCCTTAAAAAGGTCTACAATGGGAAAAATTACACTTTTTCCTCTGTAAGTTGATGTCAAAGGGTGTTTTGAATATAATTATCATTTCATAACAATTTTTATTTTCAAAGTGCCCCACAATCATTTCTAATATTTATTCTTCATACAAACCCTCACAAGAGAGTACTGCATTCATCAAACATTTTTTCACAGATGAAGCAATTTAAGAATGGGTCAAAATGTGATTAGATTTCACAGTCTCTGAGTTGCTAGCCTGCTGTTAAGTCAATTGAACCTGCCTGCCTCGGAAAGGTAAACAGAATAAATGAGTTAGCATTTAGATTTACAAATGTATCAACAGTGGATCATAAAACAAGTTAGCAAAGCCTATATCCCCGGAGATACAGACAATACGGTGGTATTACATGGTGGTTCATGTATGTGTATATGTTTGAGTATTTATGTAGTACCACATAACTACATAAACACTCAGAGTGGTACTACATAAAGACTCAAACATACACACGTACATGAACAAGAAATGGACATTAACTCTTCTGACTTACTTCACCTTAAACCAATTCTAATTTTCAGATAGATTTTACGGTAGATGTCTTGGTAGACACTACCTTTTTTCCTCTAATTTAAGACAATTTGTCTTTGTGGTTATTAAGGTGGCCTAGCCAACCTGCCTTTCCCATTGTGCTAATTCTGGGTGACCCATATTGGCAATCTTGGAGACAACCTACAAATAGTATGGGTAGTCAGGTGGTTCTGTTACAGCATCAAAAGATGACTATGAGAGTAAAATAAAACCAGCACTGTAAAGATACAAGGGCCAAATTCAAGTTCCGGTTGGTACTCCTATTTTTAAAGATAGGAATAAATGTCATGACACATTTTCCCAAACTCACAGAATGTACAACAGCAAGCGTGAACCCTAATGTAAGCTATGGATCATGGGTGATAATAATGTGTCAACGCTGGGGTCATCAGTTGTAACAAAGTACCTCTCTCATGGAGCATGTTGATAATGGAGAAGGCTATGCACATGTTGCAAAAGGGGATATATAGGAAATTTTTGTACCTTTTGTTGAATTTTGGTGTGAATATAAAACATCTCTAAAAAATAAAGTATATTAGAAAATACAGATCAATCTGGCCCAAACTCGTTGTTTAGCTCCTATTGGCAATATATGATAAAATAATTCATTGATTGTTAGGACAGGAAATTTCTTTTCTTTTTAATTTTTTTTTAATTTCTATAGGTTTTGGGGAACAGGTGGTGTTTGGTTACATGAGTAAGTTGTTCAGTGGTGATTTCTGAGAGTTTGCTGTGCCCATCACCTGAGCAGTGTACACTGTACCTAATGTGTCATCCTTTATCCCTTGCCATTCCCCAGCCTTTCTCCTGAGTCACCAAAGTCCAATGCGTCATTCTTATGCCTTTGCACCCTTATAGCTTAGCTCCCACATATGAGTGAAAATATATGATGCTTGGTTTTCCATTCTTGAGTTACTTAACTTCGAATGATAGTCTCCAATTCTATACAGGTTGCTGTGAATATCATTATTTCCTTCCTTTTTATGGCTGAGTAGCATTCCATGGTGTGTGTGTATATATATATATGTCACATTTTCTTTATCCACTCATTGACTGATGGACATTTGAACTGGTCCCATATTTTTGCAATTGTAAATTGTGCTGCTATAAACATGCATGTGCAAGTATCTTTTTCATATGACTTCTTTTCCTCTGGGTAGATACCTAGTGGCGGGATTGCTGGATCAAATAGTAGATCTACTTTTAGTTTTTAAGGAATCTCCACATTGTTTTTCCATAGTGGTTGTACTAGTTTACATTCCCTCCAACAGCATAAAACTGTTCCCTTTTCACTGCATCCATTCCAACATCAATTATTTTTTAATTTTTTGATTATGGTCATTCTTCAGGAGTGAGGTGGTACTGCACTGTGGTTTTGATTTGCATTTCCCTGATAATTAGTGATGTTGAGCTTTTTTCCTTATGCTCATTGGTCAATTGTACATCTTCTTTTGAGAATTATCTATTCATCTCCTTAGCCCGCTTTTTGATGGAATTGTTTTTTTTCTTGCTGATTTATTTGAATTCTTTGTAGATTCTGGATATTAGTCCTTTGTCAGATGTACAGATTGTGAAGAGTTTCTCCTACTCAGTGGGTTGTCTGTTTACTCTGCTGACTGTTCCTTTTGCTGTGCAAAAGCTTTTTAGTTTAATTAAGTACCAACTATTTACCTTTGTTTTTGTTGCATTTGCTTTTGGATTCTTGGTCTTGATGTCTTTGCCTAACTCAATGTCTAGAGAGGTTTTTCTTATGTTACCTTGTAGAATCTGTATAGATTCAGGTCTTAGATTTAAGTCTTTGATCCATCTTGAGTTGATTTTTGTATAAGGTAAGAGGAGAATCCAGTTTCATTCTTCCACATGTGGCTTGCCAATTATCCCAGCACCATTTGTTGAATAGGGTGTCCTTTCCCCACCTTATGTTTTTGTTTGCTCTGTCAAAGATCAGTTGGATGTAAATATTTGGGTTTATTTCTGGGTTTTCTATTCTGTTCCATTGTTCTATGTGCCTATTTTTATACCCGTATCATGCTGTTTTGGTGACTATGGCCTTATAGTACAGTTTGAAGTAGGGTAATGTGATGCCTCCAGATTTGTTCTTTTTGCTTTGGCTATGTGGGCTCTTTTTTTGTTTCATATGACTTTTAAGTTTTTTTTTTCTAGTTCTGTGAAGAATAATGGTGGTATTTTTGATGGGAATTGCATTGAATTTGTAAATTGCTTTTGGCAGTATGGTCATTTTCACCATATTGTTTCTACCCAACCATGAGCATGGGGTGTGTTTTCATTTGTTTGTGTCATGTATTATTTCTTTCAGCAGTGTTTTGTAGTTTTCTTTGTAAGGTCTTTCACGTCCTTAGTTAGGTATATTCTTAAGCATTTTATTTTATTTTTTGCAGCTATTGTAAATCAGGTTGAGTTCTTGATTTGATTCTCAGCCTAGTCACTGTTAGTATATAGCAGAGCTACTGATTTGTGTACATTAATTTTGTGTCCTGAAACTTTGCTGAATTCATTTACCAGTTCTAGGATCTTAATAAGTCTTTAGGATTTTCTAGATATATAACCATATCATCAGCACACAGTGACAGTTTGACTTCCTCTTCGGATGCCCTTTATTTCTTTCTCTTATCTGATTGCTCTGAATAGGACTTCCAGTATTGTGTTGAAAAGAAGTGGTGAAAGTGGGCATCCTTATCTTGTTCCAGTTATCTGGGGGAATGCTTTCAACTTTTCCCATTCAGTATGATGTTGGCTGTGGGTTTGTCATAGATGGCTTTCATTACCTTAAGGTATATCCCTTCTCTGCCAATTTTGCTGAGGGCTTTAATAATAAAGGGATACTGAATTTTGTCAAATGCCTTTTCTGCATCTATTGAGATGATCATGTGATTTTTGTTGTTAATTCTGTTTATGTGGTGTATCGCATCTATTGACTTATGTATGTTAAACAATCCCTGCATCCCTGGTATGAAACCCACTTAATCTTGGTGGACTATCTTTTTGATATGCTGTTGGAATTGGTTTGCTAGCATTTTGTTTAGGATTTTTGCATCTATGTTCATTAGGGATACTGATCTGTTGTTTTTTTTTTGTTGTTGTTGCTGTTGTTGTTATGTCCTTCTCTGGTTTTGGTATTAGGGTGATAGTGACTTCACAGAAGGATTTAGGGAGGATTCCCTCTTTCTCTATCTTTTGGAATAGTGTCATTAGGATTGGTGCCAATTCTTTGAATGTCTAATAGAATTCAGCTGTGAATCCATCTGGTCCTGGACTTTTTTTTGTTGGCATTTTCTTTTTATTACCATTTCAGTCTTGTTGCTTGTTATTGGTCTGTTCAGAGATTCTGTATCTTCCTGGTTTAATATAGGAGGGTTGTATGTTTCCAGGAATTTATTCGTCTCCTCTACATTTTCTAGTTTATGTGCGTAAAGGTGTTCATAGTCGTCTTGAATGACCTTTTGTATTTCTGTGGTGTCAGTTGCAATATCTCCCGTTTCATTTGTAATTGAGCTTATTTGGATTTTCTGTCTCCTTTTCTTGGTTAATCTTGCTAATGATCTATCAGTTTTATTTACCTTTTCAAAGAACCAGTTTTTTTTTTTCATTTATCTTTTTATTGTTTTTTGTTGTTGTTGTCGTTTAAATTTCATTTAGTTGTGTTCTGATCTTAGTTATTTCTTTTCTTCGGCTGAGTTTGAATTTGGATTGTTTTTGTTCCTCCAGTTCCATAAGGTGTGACTTTAGATTGTCTATTTGTGCTTTTTCAAACTTTCCAATGTAGGCATTTAATGCTATGAACTTTCCTCTTAGCACCACTTTTGCTGTTTCCCGGAGGTTTTGATAGGTTGTGTTGTGGTAGGTCAGCTCTCACTAACAGCTGTTTCAGTATTGACTGAGTGGTTAAGTTAAATATTAAAAGCCAGTGCCCTTATACAATGGCTGGGATGTAACAAAAAGCCCATCAGGAGTTTTGCCTAGGCCTTTCCTGGGCCTTAAAGCATGACAAAATAACGAAGGAATTCTTAATAGGACCCATTTAGGACTAAAGTTTTATTGTGGGTCTAAAGAAACTTCCCAGACCTCCACAAACAAGTTTATTGGGGGTCTGAAGAACTCCTCAAACCTCCATGATTTAGCAGGAGACAAGATAAGGGTAATTACCCCAGTATCTGGACCCATGTAGATTAAGTAAGACATTTACTGAGGCTCCAGAGCAAGGTCTTCAGGACTCAGACCTTAGTTACAGATTAAAAGAAGTTGATCACTGTGTCTTTAGGCGAATGCACACTTACACATAGACATATAGCCTAGAAAGTATATAAGCTCTGGAAAACTTTATAATTTTGAATTGGTCTAGTGATAATTTCCAGGTCTTCTCCCTGTAACCGGTTACAGAAATAAAAACTCTCTTCCTCCCCAGTTTATCTGCATCTCATTATGGGGCTGTGAGAAATAACAGCCCAACCCTCAGTTTGGTCCGGGAACAGTGTCACTATTATCATTCAATTAAATGAATTTTTAAATTTCCATCTTGATTTTATTGTTGATGCAATGATCATGGAGGAGCAAGTTATTTAATTTCCATGTATTTGCATGGCTTTGAGGGTTCCCTTTGGAATTGATTTCCAATTTTACTCCACTGTGGTCTGAGAGAGTACATGATATAATTTTGGTTTTCTTAAATTTACTGAGACTTGTTTTGTGGCCTATTATATCATCTGTCTTGGAGAATGTTCCATGTGCTGATGAATAGAATGTATATTCTGCAGTTGTTGGGTAGAATGTTCTGTAAATATCTGTTAAGTCCATTTGTTATAAAGTATAGTTTAAGTCCATTGTGTCTTTGTTGACGTTCTGTCTTGATGACCTGTCTGGTGCTGTCAGTGGAGTATTAAAGTCCGTCACTATTATTGTGTTGTCATCGATCTCATTTCTTAGGTCTGGTAGTAATTGTTTTATAAATTTGAGAACTCTTAGGTGCATATGTATTTAGAATTGGGGTATTTTCCTGTTGGTCTAGTCCTTTTATCATTATATAATGTCCCTCTTTGTCTTTTTTTTTTTTTTTTTTTTTTTTTTTGAGACGAAGTTTTGCTCTTGTTGTCCAGGCTGGAGTGCAATAGTATGATCTTGGTTCACTGCAACCTCCACCTCCCAGGTTCAAGCGATTCTCCTGCCTTAGCCTGCCAAGTAGCTGGGATTACAGGCATGTGCCACCACGCCCAGCTAATTTTGTATTTTTAGTAGAGACAAGGTTTCTCCATGTTGGTCAGGCTGGTCTCGAATTCCCGACCTCAAGTGGTCTGCCTGCCTCGGTCTCCCAAAGTGTTGGGATTACAGGTATGAGCCACCCCACTGGGCCCCCTCTTTGTCTTTTTTAACTGCTGTTGCTTTAAAGTTTGTTTCGTCTGACATAAGAACAGCTAATCCTGCTTGCTTTTAGCGTCCATTTGCGGAATATCTTTTTCCACACCTTTATCATAAGTTTATGTGAATCATTATGTGTTAGGTGAGTCTCCTGAAGATAGCAGAAACTTGGTTGGTGACTTCTTATCCATTCTGTCATTCTGCATCTTTTAAGTGGAGCATTTAGGTCATTTACATTCAATGTTAGTATTGAGATATGAGGTACCATTCTATTCATCGTGCTATTTTTTTTCCTAAATACCTTGTTTTTTTTTTCATTGTGTTATTGTTATATAGGTCCTGTGAGATTTATGCTTTAGGGAGGTTCTATTTTGTGTATATTGAGGATTTGTTTCAGGATTTAGAGCTCCTTTTAGCAGTTTTTGTAGTGCTGGCTTGGTAGTGGCAAATTCTCTTAGCATTTGTTTGTCTGGAAACAACTGTATCTTTCCTTCATTTATGAAGCTTAGTTTCACTGGATACAAAATTCTTGGCTGATAATTGTTTTGTTTAGGAGGCTAAAAATAGGACCCCAATCCCTTCTACCTTGTAGGGTTTCTGCTGAGAAATGTGCTGTTAATCTGATAGGTTTTCCTTTGTAGGTTACCTGATGCTTTTGCCTCACAGCTCTTAAGATTCTTTCTTTTGTCTTGACTAGATAACGATGACTACATGCCTAGTCAATGATCTTTTTGCAACGAATTTCCCAGGTGTTCTTTGAGCTTCTCATCTTTGGATGTCTAGATCTCTAGCAATTCCAGGGAAGTTTTCCTTAATTATTCCCTCAAATATGTTTTCAATACTTTTAGATTTCTCTTCTTCCTCAGGATCACCAATTATTCTTAGGTTTGGATGTTGAACATAGTCCCAAACTTCTTCGAGGCTTTGTTCATTTTTTTTCCATTCTTTTTCTTTGTTTTTGACAGATTGGGTTAATTCAAAAGACTTGTCTTTGAGCTCTGAAGTTCCGTCTTCTGCTTGTTCAATTCTATTGCTGATACTTTCTAGTACATTTTGCATTTCTCTAAGTGTGTCCTTGATTTCTAGAAGTTGTGATTGTTTTTTATTTATGCTATCTATTTCACTGAAGAATTTTCCTTTCATATCCTGTATCATGTTTTTTATTTCATTAAGTTGGACTTCACTTTTCTCTGGTGGCTCCTGGATTAGCTTAATAATCAACCTTCTAAATTCTTTTTCTGGCAATTCAGAGAATTTTGTCTTGGTTTGGATCCATTGCTGGTGAGCTGATATGATCTTTTTGGGGTGTTGAAGAAACCTCTTTTGTCGTATTACCAGAATTGTTTTTCTGATTCCTTTTCGTTGGTGTAGACTATGTCAGATGGCAGATCTGGGATTCAAGGGCTGTTGTTCAGATTCTTTTGTCCCACAGGGTGCTCCCTTGATGTGGTGTTCTCCCCCTTCTCCTAGGAGTGGGGCTTCCTGAGAGCCAAACCGTCATGATTGTTTTTGCTCTTCTAGGTCTGGCAACCCAGTGGAGCTACCAGCTTAGGCTGGTACTGGGGAGTGTCTGCAATGAGTCTTGTGATGTGATCCGTTTTCAGGTCTCGCAGCCTGCTCCGGTGAAGGTATCAGGGGAGTGAAGTGGACACCATAAGGGTCCCTGGTTGTGTTTTTATTTAGTGCACTGATTTTGTGTTTGTTGGCCTCCAGCCAGAAGGTGATGCTTTCAAGAGCACATCAGAGCTGGGTGTGGCGGTTCACACCTGTAATCCCGGCACTGTGGGAGGCTGAGGTGGGTGGATCACCTAAGGTCAGGAATTCGAGACCAGCCTGGCCAACATGGGGAAACCCCGTCTCTACTGAAAATACAAAAATTGGCTGGGCGTGGTGGCGGGCATCTGCAATCCCAGCTACTTGGGAGGCTGAGGCAGGAGTATCACTTGAACCCAGGAAGAAGAGGTTGCAATGAGCTGAGATTGCACAATTGCACTCCAGCCTGGGCAACAAGAGCAAAACTCCATTTAAGAAAAAAAAAAAAAAAAAAAAAAAGCGCATCAGCTGCAATCCTATAGAGAAGATGCAAACTTGCCCTAGGGACACCTGGTTAAGTATTCAGGTTTCTCAGACGGTGGGCAGGGCTATAGGGCTCCCAGGAGATTATGATCTTTGTCTTTGGCTACCTGGGCAGGCAGAGGATGACCACTAGGTAGGGGCAGGGATAGACGTGTCTGAACTCAGCCTCTCCTGGGCAGAGCTTGCTGTGGCTGCCATGGGGGATGGGGGTGCAGTTATAACTCCAATGGAGTTACATTCCAAGGGGGATTATGGCTGCCTCTGCTGAGTCATACAGGTCTCCAAGGAAGTGGGAGAAAGCCAGCAGTCACGGGCCACACCCCGCTCCCATGCAGCCTGCACACCTAAAGGCCGGTCTCACTCCCACCATGCCCCACCAACAGCACCGAGTCTATTTCTATGCAGCAGGTGACCAGGGCTGAGAATTTGCCCCAAACCACGAGACTCCCCATTGAGAAAGCAAGCTGACTCACAGTTTTTCAGCATCTCATGGAGCCTGCAGCAGTGATACAGTTCCTTCAAAGGGTCTGTGGATTCTCTCTGCTTTCCTGGTATGTTCCTGCTGTAGTTCTTGGAGCAATGGTTCACAATGAATCTCCACACACTGCTCTGTCTGTCTGAGTGGGAGCCACAAGCTAGTCCTGCCTCCTATCCAACATCTTCTAGTTGCAATATCGACATTTCTAATAATATGACAAAGTATCTAGATTTGGCACATTTCTTGATGGAATATTTCCATTGAGTATAAATGAAATCACTATATTATCTAAGAGTAAGCTGTTTTATTTACTTTCTGTATAAGCCTTATCTTGACATCTATGATGGGGATGTTTGGTAAAGCTTCATGATTGTTATTTCTATCACTCACTTTGCTTCCTGTTTGTCATCATTCACTACCCCAAGTTGCTATTTTTCTTCTCTGTTTTTTTCAAGCAGTCGTTTGCAATCATGGCTACACATTAGAATCACTTCTAAAGCTTTTAAACAATACTAATGCCTGAGCCCCAAGTCTAGAAATTCTTATTTCATTGTCTGTGGTTAGACTCAATTATTCATATTTTCAAAACTTCCAAGATGATCCTAAGTGCAGTCAGGGTTGAAAACCACTAGTCTAGAGGAGTTTACTTTGCTTCAGAACACCTAAGTCACATGGACATTCCTTAATAATGAGAAAGACGGGGTCATTAAAAGGGCTATACTATGGGGGTGGCAACTTTACTCAACTTCTTCAACTTAATATGAAGAAGTCTTTCTAAAAGAGTCAGAATGATTTAAAACAAATTTTAGACATACTACAAGTTCTACAAAGGCAAGGACTCTATCTATCTTAGTGATTATTGTATTTTCAGGTGTTGGTAGTTCCATGCTGATAACATATAAACACTTGATAAAAATTTACTGGATGAATGAATGAATAAACAACCGCACTGAGAGCAACCATGAGCTTAGTGGAAAATACAGCGTATTTCTTGTGACAATGCTATCTGACTATTATCTTCTCCTGAACATTTTGTACTGCTCCTCTACTGTGCTGCTCCTGTGTCTCAGCCCCTAAGGAAACTTCCCAAGTAGTTGTGTATAGGAGTCAGCAAAATTCGTAAGATTCAGTGGTGATCTTTCAAATACTAGACGTAAATTACAGAGACAGTACATAATTTCAGTTTTTATTTATTGTCTACTTACATTTATTTCTATTCCACACAAAAGGGGATCATCAGCTACTAAGGTGTGGGTGTTCCTTGTGGAATCAGTAGCCAATTTCTAAGAAACGATCAATGCCTGTAGCAGTTCCTTGTTATGCACTAATCTAGGTTCAACTTCCATGGAAAATACACTTCTGGTATAATTCTGATTGTCCAGAGTTTGTTTGCTTTTCCTTTATAATACAGTTTTGCTTTTCTTTAATAGTAAGAGTCTTTAGTAATAGTTCGATTCTTGAGTGCCTACTTTGTGTACAAAATGCTTTAATACACATTTTTAAAATTTAATTATGCCACTAACTTTATAAAACAGGTATTACCTTCCCCATTTTACAGATGGGAATTAAAGTATCCAAAGACTGATGTAACTTTCTCAACGGCAAATGACTAGCTGGTAACTGAGTAGAAATCTAATCCCTGGTCTACTTAACCCCATCTCTGAACAATAGATTAGTTTCTCTTCTCTTCCCTCAACCAACAAATCCCACCACCACTTCCAACACAACTACCATCATTCCATCTTCAGGGAATCTTACACTTGAGTGTTTAGTATTTCTTCACTTCTGTCTAGAAAGAGTTCTTCTCTTTACGTATGTCCTGAGGGTCTTTTACTCATCTCTGAACCTGAGACTAAAAAATGTTAAAAATTCTTATTATTACTGTATTACTCTTCTAAATTTATAGTATTCTAAAATGACAGTGGTAAAATCATTATATAAATGCAAATGATACATTATGCTCAGTCTATTAAAGTTCTCCTTCACAGTATCAATGAATAAAATTAAAATTTATTTTACATTTCTTTTACAATATTTCATACCTGCAAAAATGAAGATATTAGGTTTCTGCTTATTATTTATAAGTTAAATGACATATTAAATGATGTTTGCAGCAGATTTTTTTAAGGCATTTTTCAAAACCTAATAGTAAAGTATCTGTTTTATCAATGGCAGATTAGAAGCTTTCAAATACTTTACCCACAAACATGCTATAAGAAAAATACTTTATCATCTTCTTAATGACCCAAACAAGGGCTATCTGCTTTTCTCATTCTTCCTGTGTATGTTTAAAAGCATCTATGCCCTTTTATCAGCCTTAACAGGACAACGTAGTTAACCCTTCCAACTATTATGCTTATAACCTCAATTATTTAAAAACAGGTAGGGACAACTTATAAAATCTGTATATAACAATAAAGGTATTAACAAGTCAGTGACAGAAAGTAGGTGATGATAGTCAGGGATGGGGTAAGGAAATTTAGGACAATGTTTGCTACTTTTTAAGAACAGTTTTTATACGAAGGGATGTAGGCTGTCTGCTAACCAAGTTAATCTTAGCCAGTGGGTAAGAATGCTCTGTATTCTAAGGCCAATGGTGACTGCTGAAAAAGAGCCAAAGTTTTCCAAACAGAGTGGCTCTTGTTGTCTTTGTGGGAACTGACTGGCTCTTGGATTTTCCAGGGAGGGCAGGTTTTCATGGTTTGAGTGGTCAGAAAAGGATAGCCTGAAAGATTGGTCAAAAAACATAAAACCATCAGGATATAACATTAAACCATTAAGAGATTATGAAATTAGCATTAGTTACAGTAACTGGATATAGTCTTTTGCTTATTTCATTCACTTTTTTTCATACTGAAATCTGATAAGAAATTAAAAGAATTGTAGACAATAAATCTAGGCCTAATATGTGTATTTATATGCAACAATATACATTTATTGCCACTAAATATTCCCTCTTAACTACTCTGAATTGCTTTAACTAGTTATTTGATATATGGGTAATAATAAAATTTATATTCTGATGTAATATGACATTTTGATTTATACTTTCAAACTTACAAAGTTTAAAAGGAAAGATGAGTATTGTAAATATACCAACAATCACTGCACTAGCTTTTAGAAAGGTAACAGGCATGCAATTTCCTTGAAACTAAAGTGTAAAGAAAAAAAATAGGTCAGCAAATATTTACTGAAATTTGCTGGGTACGATGATGCATACAGAAATGATCAGTGTCTGAACTATATCTGAATAATTTCTGTTAAAACTGAAATGCAATTATTTTTGAAATGCAAAAGACCACCAAACTCAAGTAGCATTTTAAAAAAATGACAAAAATCAGTTGCAGTCTGTGTTTTAAAGGAATTTCAAATATGCCTTATAAGAAATTCACATTAGGGGCTGCATTTCTATGTATTTTGAGTAAACTAACCAAAGTAACTTAAGATTCACAAGGAAAAGAGATGAGAGTAGAACAAAATAAAAGAAGTGTGAATGTAGTAAAAAAAAATCAAAGAAAAGGAAGAAAAGGAAAAAAAAAAGCTTATGAGTCCTAGAAGGGTTAGAACACTTTTTTTTTCTTGCTCTTGGCAGAAGGAACAAAGCAACAAGCAATCTCCAGTGCTAAGAAAAATGTAGACATGAATTAATGGTGATTAGAAATTGGTAAATATTACCAGCTTCTTTATAAATGGCTCTCCTAAACATGCTATGGTTAATGGTTTAGGGTACAAAAGATATGACCAAAGCAAAAGCCATAAAAGAGGCTTTTATACTAAGGAAATAATTTATACAATAAACACAAGTGTAGTCATTCCAGCTGGCATGCTGCTATCCATCTTAATTATTGCAATAAATGAACCACTGGCCATCACATTTAAAAGACTATGGAAAACTGGATGGCTACCAAAAGATCAGAAAGAAAAGCTTTATGTTAAAATAAAGTGATGATTAAATTGAAAATCAGGCCATAATACTGATGATACATTTTCACTAGGCTAAATAAGGTAGCATTATCTCTGAAAATTATATTTACTTGACCTCGTAAATTTCTCAGTAATTTAAGAAGCAACTATATAATTTGTGCACTATCCACATACCAGATTGTATTTACAGAAAGCATTTTTTCTTCTGAAAAAAAATGAAAGAGGGGGAGCTGCAGTGGGCATGCATGGGTCAGCACAGCATAGGCTAATTGAAGTTTTGGTATATAGACAGCACTGCCTCCTCTAGGACAGCTGTTCTCAAAGTGTGGTCCCAGGACTGGCAACATCAGCAACATATGGGACCTTGTTAGAAATGCAAATTTGGAACCCCACTTCAGAAATACTGAATCTGAAACTGTAGATGTCAAGCCCAACAACCTATGTTTTAACAAACTCTCCAGGTGATTGAGAGGCACGTGCAAGTTTAAGAACCACCATTCCACCAAAACAAAAGCTTCATAGGACCATGTTTTCTTTATCACTGCATCCCTAGCATCCAACTTAACACAGTAGCTAACCCATGGTAGTCACTCAACAAATATTTGTTGAATTAATTAGTTAAGAAAGCTTTTATTAAAAAGTGGATTTAAAATGATATTCTAAAGCATTATTTTACATATTTTTAGTGTTGTCAAATAAATAATTCCATTTATCAAACAGAAGTTCAATTTTTTTAAAAGCTTCATTTTATTGGTTCAGTTCTTATTTGCATTTAGTCAAATTATATTTGGAAAACAAAGTGTTCTTTAAAAAGGTATGTGACAATCATTATACGTAAATAGTTTAGAATTTCTGGATGAGTGGTTAATTTGTTGTGTTTCGTTGTTATTGAAAATTGGAGGGAGGGTTATTTGAGGAAAGCTTGATCATGAAAAATGGAATCTACTACCTATTCATGAATATATTATGTTATGTTAAATAACAAGAAGTGATAGCTATAAGTTTAAATTGATATGTTTAAATCTATTATCTCTATACTTGGTATAAATTATTTTTTAAATTTAGTCACCCATTTAAACTTAGAGTTATCACTTTTTGTTATTCAACATAACATAATGTACTTACATAATTTTGAATTACAAAGCAACTCAAGCACTTTGACTAAGTTTACTTCATATATACATGTGTACAACTTGCAGAAGATACACTTTATTTTTCAAAAGTAATGTTTATAAGGAATAAACAAAAATCAAAACTTAAAACAATAGTATAATATTTATCTGTAAAGCTTAAACTCACATTGCCAGTTAGATAAGGGAACAAATGCCAAGAGAAAAATTTATTAATCTCAAAAGGCAGAGTAATGGCCTCATCATTTCACAAAGCACAATTTCAGGAGACACACTTTATTGTATTTCTTTGTGTGAATTATAAACTTTAGTAGAAAATGGGAAATAGGCAAAGTAATACATTTTAACTGTAGCACACCAATTGATATAGCCTCGCAAAAAAAGGTTATTTTGAAAAATTAATTCAATTCATCTACAATAGGAAACCTGTCACCATAAGCTGAAATTGGATAAAAGTCCACAGATAGTTAACACTTTCATGCCACCTAAAAGTATACATATGCTTTTTATGAAAAATTACTATCTCACATGCTAACATTTAACAAAGGAACTATAAAACTGCTAAGAAATGAATCCAGAGGCTATGGTCTTTGGAAAGGTATGGTAACCTTTAAGAGGGCAATCACTTTTTCCTAAATACTACTTGCAGAGTTAACCATCCCAATAATCGCTGACACCATGAACATCAAGGACAGACAGAGGACTGGGCAGTAGGGAAGCTATGGTTCCACAATATTTTTACTGTTAGATAGTAGATATTGCTGAAGAATGTCCAAAACTTCATTAAATCTACTAGAAATTAATTCTACTTAAAAACTCAATTTGTACTAATGCTTTTGTTCATCCTTTGTTTCTACCTTTTAGGAAGAAGTCCAGTAAGTTTCTAGTAATCTTGTCCCGTTTCTCAGTTTTGTCTCTTTCTCCAGATTTGAGACATTGCCCAATCAATCCCTGTGCTTTTCCAAGTTCAGTTTTGCCCTTTGAGTCTGATCCTTCTTTCCTTTTGGCTCCCACAGATATTCAGGTCTCTTCTATTTCAAAGATTCTCAGGAAGATCATACCTCCTAGCTCCTAAACCTCCTATTTCTCTCCTTATGATCATCACTAAGCTCCATTCTCTGTCTTCACTGTACTCCAATGATTTGCACAGCAGCCACATCCTTGAATTGTTGAATATAGATACAGTATTTTACTCATTTATTCAGCACCACGGTTATAACTTGCTTATGATGAGTGTCTAATAAATATTAATTTAATTAAGCAAAAAATGCTATAGTAGGCAGTTATTATTGTGCTTGCCCAGTCTACTTTATTAGCACATCCCAAGGCTTCTTGAAATTGCACAGAAACCTATCAAATTCCCCTCCTCCAATGTTAGTTGACTGGTCCTAAATGGACACCTGACCCAAGCTAAGCCAATCAGAAACCTTGCCCTGTGAATTCAGAACTAGGCAAACTATGTTTATTAAATGGAGGAGAACTCAATCCAGGAGACATGGGCTGCCATATGGCCTTAGAATCAAAATGGGATAGTCTTCAGAAAGAGAGAAGGCAAATGAAAAGAAAGAAGAGCTGAGGAATTGAGACAGACAGAACTGATAGCCTTCATGCCCTTAATTTAAATTCGTTCTTGAGATCTAAGTCCTAGCTTCATTATAGAGATGCATATCTTACTATAGCTCTGTTACAGAGACTTCTTGTTCCCTCGTTATATATCCCCCATATTTGCTTAAGCTAGATCCTGTTGATTCCTGTCATTGCAATAAGATATCCTAAATAACATGGTGTCATAAGTCATATTGAATTAATTGCTTTTAACTTAATAGTAAAAGAAAAGCATATTTTCATGGGAATAATCTAAAATGGAGAGCTGATGTAAAAGAATCACTTGACATCAAATAGAAAAAATATGTCACATGAGTATACATACATAACAATTTAGTAAGAAAACATCTCTGGATATAAGAAATAAGAGCTCATTTGTTGCTGTGAATTTCTCTATTTCTGTGTACTCTCCAAGGACAAAAAACTCTTGAATCTTCATATTATACTTTATAGGATTACAGTGACACTGTATGAAACATCCTCCTGAAAAAGTTGCATTGAAGATTGTACAACCTGAAGAGTAAAAACATATTCCATTGTGGTCACTAAATATATATTTTAATGGAAAGATCTTGAAAGGCCCAAAATAACTGCCAAAAAATTTTAATACCAGAAATCCTTTGTTAATAAGTTGGCAGGGCGGTCATTTGATGAAAAGTCAAATCATACATGTTGATTAACTTAAGATAAACTTTGAGAATAAGTTTATGGCATGAGGTACATGCTTTATTTACTGTGCTTACAGTTATAAAGTTAGAAATTACTCCGTGAAATACAGTCATTATTACCTTGCTTGCATTTTATTTCACCAATTATAAAACTACAACTACTTTCCACATTAGTAGAAAAAATGAATATATACAACCAAACCTTACAGGTCTGCTATAATAGGCTCAGAAAAAACAAAGGCAATTTGTGTAAGCTACTGAATTATCTAAAAAATTTCCCAAAATATAGTCATTGGTTTGCCATGCTTGTTTTATGGCTGCAGTTAATATTAAAATGGAAAAAGAAACCACCTTTCTGCCTAAACAATTTTGCAGATGTCAATAAATCTATAGATTGCAGGAGAAAATTGGAGTTGTGTAGTACTAAACACAATTTAACTCTGAAATTAAAAAAATATTTTCAGGAGTAGTTTATGGAATATATTACATGTCCTGTGTTTTCCCAAAAATAGTGAAAACTTGTTAAAATTCCTTTGGGACATAGGTCTGATTTATAAAGCCAGACTAGCTGGAAGGCATCTAAGGAAATCCCTGCAGTTTTGGTAAATGTAAATAACAACAAAGAAGCAGAGACATTTCTATGGGCCTGTTGAAAAGAGAACCAGGGATTCAGAAAAGCCTAGGCACGTGGGAGGAAATGCAGTCATTTCCAGATCATGACGTGTTTGCTCTGCAGGAGATAAGTACCTCAACATGCCTATGCTTCCCTCATCCCTCGCATGTCCCTTCCGCGTAGCTATGTATGTCCTTCTCAGACACAGACATACATAGGTAGTGAGTCATATGTCAGGGAAACACATAGCAAAGTAAAATGCGAAGTAAACAAAATTAACCGATTACTTTAAATTATTTTGTATTAGTGGATTCAATTGTCTAAGAATAAAATTTTAATCTTTTCAGCTTTAGGAGGCTTACAGGCTGTTACCATACTTAGTCAAAGTACTATAGTACTTGGCTACTAGTGAAAGTACCATAGTACTTGAATACTGATGTGAACCTCTTGAAAGAATGGACTCGAAATATTTTGTAAAAATACACAGGCACAAAATAACAGTATTTTGATATTACTGACTGCTTTTCCAAATTTGCAATTATCTATATTTGAGTGAGCTTAAAATAAAAATTTAGATAATATAAATTCCAAATCATGTGGAAAACTTACATGTATCTTCATGGAAATAAATAATAGGGCTTTTTGTATTTATTTGTTTTGTTCTTCTGTTGTATTTTGACTTATAATGAAGAATTATGGTTATAGAAGGTACCAGACATCAAATAGTCCTAAATCTAGACACTGTATTTCATTCATGTAGTATATTTTACTTCAAAACACTGCTTTCCAAATGCTGGTTTTCCAAATGTCTCAAGTCAGACATAAGGTTAAACAATGTAAACAATTTCTTTATACCAGGAGTTAGCAAAGCTCATTTCTATTGTGAATTCTAAGAGTGAGTATAAGTATATGCCATTATAAAATTAATTTGGTTGTGGTCTAATTATCTGGATCACAAGAATTTAGGAAATACTTCTCCAGAAATACTATGCCACAGCTTTTAAAATAATCCATTGTATTAAGTGTGGTTCAACAATCTTGAGTGTCAAAAAATTATTGATACAAAATTTAAATTCCTCTTATGGTATGTTTTCTTCTCATACTTGCTCGCCATAACATGTATAAATTTATTTCTACTGAAGAATATTTGCACTTCTGTTAACTGTATGTTTGGGTGATTTTTTTTTTAGTAGATATCCTCTAGGCTTACATTGTTACATTTGCAAATCACTTCAAAACATCAATCAAGAAGCAAACTATGCAACTTCATCTTAAATGTGATTTAACTTAAACATAGACTAATATAAGAATGGCAATAAAAATGAAAGATCATTTTAATTTCAATATGTTTGTAGGTTTATTGTAACAAATAAGAAAAAAATTCGCAAGCCTAACGGGGAAAAGAAACAAGCAACACATAAAAATGAGCACAACTGTTATCCTAAAGTTTCATAGGAACTATAACCAAAATTCCTAATTTCTCAATTCATAATAAATAAATTACTATGTGAGAAGATGTATCTTGTCTACAATTTTGGTAGTAATACTGTTGTTACAATAATTTTGCACTACAATCAAACTAGAACTCAAGATCAAGAAACTCACTCAAAATCACACAACTACATGGAAATTGAACAACCTGCTCCTGAATGACTCCTGGGTAAATAATGAAATTAAGGCACAAATCAAGATGATCTTTGAAACCAATGAGAACAAAGAGACAGTGTACCAGAATCTCTGGGACACAGCTAAAGCAGTGTTAAGAGGTAAATTTATAGCACTAAATGCCCAAATCAAAAAGTTAGAAAGATCTCAAATCATAAACCTAACATCACAACTGAAAGAATTGGAGAACCCAAAGCAAACAAACCCAGAAACTAGCAGAAGGCAAGAAATAAACAAGATCAGAGCAGAATTAAAGGAGATAGAGGCATAAAAAAACCCTTCAAAAAAATCAATGAATCTACGAGCTATTTTTTTTAAATAATAATTATAATAATAAAATAGCCTGCTAGCTAGACTAATAAAGAAAAAAAGAGAGAACAATCAAACAGACATAATAAAAAATGATAAAGGAGATATCACCACTGAACCCACAGAAATACAAACAACGATCAGAGAATACAATAAACACCGTTATGCAAATAAACTAGAAAATCTAGAAGAAAAGGAAAAATTCTTGGATACATACACCACCCCAAGACTAAACCAGGAAGAAGTGGAATCCCTGAATAGACCAATAGTAAGTTCTGAAATTGAGGCAGCAATAAATAGCCTACCAAACAAAAAAAAAGACCAGGACCAGAAGGATTTACAGCTGAATTCTACTGAAGGTACAAAGAGGAGCTGATACCATTTCTTCTGAAACTATTCCAAAAACTGAAAGACAGGGACTTCTTCCTAACTCATTTTGTGAGACCAGCATTATCGTGATACCAAAACCTGGCAGAAATACAAAAGAGGAAAACTTCAGGCCAATATCCCTGAAGAACACTGATGTAAAAATCATCAATAAAACACTGGCATACTGATCCAGCAGCACATCAAAAAGCTTATCCACCACAATCAAGTTGGCTTCATCCCCAGATGCAAGGCTGGTTCAACATACATAAAACAATCAATGTAATTCATCACATAAACAGAACTAAAGGAAAAAAACCACAATAATTATCTCAATAGATGCAGAGAAAGCCTTTGATAAAATTCAGCATCCCTTCAATAAATCAGGTATTGAAGGAACATACTTCAAAATAATAAGAGCCATTTATCACAAACCCATAGCCAATATCCCACTGAATGGGCAAAAGCTGGAAGCATTCCCCTTGAAAACCGACACAATATAAGGATGCCCTCTCTCACCACTCCTATTCAACATAGTACTGGAAGTTCTGGCCAGGGAAATCAGGCAAGAGAAAGAAATAAAAGATATTCAAATAGGAAGAGAGGAAGTAAAACTGTCTCTCTTTGCAGATGACATGATCCTATATCTAGAAAACTCCATCATCTTAGCCCCAAAGCTGATAAGCAACCTCAGCAAAGTCTCAGGATACAAAATCAATGTACAAAAATAAGCAGCATTCCTATACACCAACAATAGACAAGCAGAGAACCAAATCATGAATGAACTCCCATTCACAATTTCTACAAAGAGAGTAAAATACCTAGGAATACAACACACAAGGGATGTGAAGGACCTCTTCAAGGACAACTACAAACCACTTCTCAAGGAAATAAGAAAGGACGCAAACAAATGGAAAAACATTCCATGCTCATGGATAGGAAGAATCAGTATAGTGAAAATGGCCATACCGCCCAAAGTAATTTGTAGATTCAATGCTATTACCATCAAGCTACCACTGACTTTCTTCACAGAATTAGAAAAAAACTACTTTAAACTTCATATGGAACCAAAAAAGTGCCCATATAGCCAAGATAATCCTAAGCAAAAAGAACAAAGCTGGAGGCATCATGCTGCTTGACTTCAAACTACACTACAAGGCTACAGTAAGCAAAACAGCATGGTACAGGTACCAAAATAGATACATAGACCAATGGAACAGAACAGAAGCCTCAGAAATAACACCACACATCTACAACCATCTGCTCTTCGACAAACCTGACAAAAACAAACAATGAGGAAAGGATTCCTTATTTAATAAATGGTGCTGGGAAAACTGGCTAGCCATACGCAGAAAATTAAAACTGGACCCCTTCCTTATACATCAGACAAAATTAACTCAAGATGATAAAGCATTAAATGTAAAACACAAAACTACAAAAACCCTAGAAGAAAATCTAGGCAATACCATTCAGGACATAGGCATGGGCAAAGATTTCATGACAAAACATCAAAAGCAGTGGCAACAAAGGCAAAAATTGACAAATGGGATCTAAGTAAACTGAACAGCTTCTGCACAGCAAAGAAACTATTATCAGAGTGAACAGGCAACCTACAGAATGGGAGAAAATTTTTGCAATCTATCCATCTGACAAATGTCTAATATCCAGGGTCTGCAAGGAACTTAAAGAAATTTACAAGAAAAAAACCCAACAACCCCATTAAAAAGTGGGCAAAGGATATGAAGAGATAGTTCTCAAAAGAAGACATTTATGCAGCCAACAAACATATATAAACAAAGCTCAAAGTCACTAATCATTAGAGAAATGCAAATCAAAACCACAATGAGATACCATTTCATCCCAGTCAGAATGGCGATTATTAAAAAATCAAGAAACAACAGATGCTGCAGATGCTGGCAAGGCTATGGAGAAATAGGAATGCTTTTACACTGTTGGTGGTAATGTAAATTAGTTCAATCATTGTGGAAGACAGTGTGGTGATTCCTCTCAGACCTAGAACCATAAATACCATTTGACCCAGCCATCCCATTACTGGGTATACACCCACGGGAATAGACATCATTCTGTTTATAAAGATACATGCACAGGTATGATCATTGCAGCACTATTCACAGTAGCAAAGACATGGAATCAACCTAAATGCCTATCAATGATAGGCTGGATAAAGAAAATGTGGTACATACATACAATGGAATACTATGCAGCCATAAAAAGGAATGAGATAATGTCTTTTGCAGGGACATGGATGAAGTGGGAAGCCATTATCCTTAGGAAAGTAATGCAGGAACAGAAAGCCAAACATCACATGTTCTTACTTAAAAGTGGGAGCTGAACAATAAGAACACATGGACACAGGGAGGGGGACAACACACAATGGGACCTGTTGAGGGGGTAGGGGGGAGGGACAGAATCAGGATAAACAGCTAATGCATGCAAGACTTAATACCTAGATGATGTGTTGATAGGTGCAGCAAATCACCATGCCACACATTTACCTATTTAACAAATCTGCACATCCTGCACATGTATCCTGGAACTTAAAATAAAATTAAATGTAAAAAATAAAAAATAATACTAATTTTGCACTAGTAGTTTATTTTAAAATAATGTACACATTATAAATATTCAAATCAGATAAAGCATATACTTAAAAAATAAGAAGGCTTCCCTCCTATCTCATATTCGCAGGCCTCCCTTTCAGAGAAGCCCATTATTAAGGTTCCTGTGTGTTTTTTAGAAAAAAAAAAAAAAAAAAAAAAAAAAACTATGTATATATGAGCATACAAGTAGGTATATGGTTTTGTGTGTTTCAAAACACATTCCGTTTTAAGCAAACATACCACACACTGTTTTGCGTATCTTTCTTTCTTACTTTCATCCCGTATTTTTAATAAATAAGGATAAAGAAAATTGTAGTGGGATAATTTTCTACATAACAGAAATTTTTTCCTCTTTTCTGTTTGAATGTGTCATATTTGTCATATTTAGTACACCATACCTTCCACTTTTCTTGTGTAAATAATAAATAGCTAACATTTCTGAAGTCTGTTCTACTTGCCATTCACTTTGCTCATCATTTTCCAAAAATTATCTCACTTTGTTCATTCAACAAAGAATTCATATAAATACTATTATTCTCCTCATTTTACAGACAAAGAAATTGGCTTACAGATTTTACTTGCCCACCACTTAAGTTACTTGTTTCAATTATTCTTTCTTCCATTTTTCTTTCATGAAAGCCTTAACATACTCATTCAATCTTTACTATCTAAAACGTGATTGTAAAATCTCATAGTTTTGAATCCTCAAGAGCTAAAGATCCACAGGGTGTGATTAGGACCATTTGGAATCTAATTATTAAGTTCAAAATATATGAATTACATATTTTTTAAAAGAAAAATATCTGGTTTCTTAACCCTAATAAGTTTTCCTAGAAAAGTATTTCTATAACCGAATATTTAGTGAAGCTTCAAGTCCAACATCCCCAAAATAAAAAATCATAAAGAATTTGAAACAGAAGGAATCTTAAATTAGTTTATTCCTATTAAGTTACAGATAAGAAAAATGTTGCATTTATTACTAAATTTATCACCAAATTTACCATCCTTTTATACTAAACTAAGTTTAAAGAGACAGCAGAACATCTCTGCTTGGAGTATGGTATATGTATAACATTTTGTAATACTCTAAGAGGTAGAAGTCCCTGAGTCTTCCTCAAAAGTAGCATTTCAAATTTGAGGAACTAGCTTTTTCCTTCAGCAATTGCATGCTGTTTTGTTTTTGTTGTGGGACAGTCGTCTGTGGAGATGAAGAATCATGGATCAGTGTTCTCATCACAGCTATTAATTCACCTTTTACTTCTTCCTTCTCCAGGTCTTTTCCCTTCTTTACAACAACTGTATTCTATAGGTTTAATCATTTTCTTTTCTCTGAACCAAATCTAATTGCTCTATTTATAAATATAACATTATACTCTCCCAAAAATTTTGTTCAGTGTTAAACAGAGGAGAGGTTGTACTTCCTTGTCTTTTTATTTTCCACACTCTGTTACTGCTTGTTTATACTGTAATGCATTTTTATTCCTATGTCTCAATTATTTTATTTATGGTGCATGGTGACTGGGAAATCTCAATCTGCAAAATGTTACATGCTTAGTGCTTCATTATGGATACTGATGAGAACAAAAAAGTGCAAATATTAAAAAAAGAGATAATGCAAATATTATTTTTATTTGGCAGTAGAATAAAGTCTCACAACCACACGGAAGGGAGCCCACTCAGCTGTAGCCTAATGTCATTGTATAAGCAAAGAAGCAGAACAGAAATATGAAGTGATTAACCAAAATCTCAGGGCTGCTGGTAAAGGCAGGACTGGGTCTCCTGTTTTCTTCTCCAGCCTTTCATATCCCTCTGCCACTGATCACTACTAAAAGCCCTCAGCAAGAAGGAAGTTCCTGGTCTCAATTATTAACTTGACAATGATCCTGGTAACCGTTACTGATTCAACAATGATGAACCAACACTCAATACTAAATATTTTTCCGTTTAATCACTAAATAATAGAGTTAGTGACGCAGACTATTTACATAGAATCTGTTTTCTTAAATTCTTTCTTATTGTATTGTTTGTGAAGCAACTATATTTAACAATGTAGGTATGTAGTGAACAAGTACACACAGGTTCTGCTGTGAGAATCAATGTTTTTTTTTTTAAGTTAGTAGTACCTTCTGTATCCTTCAAACATCTAAAGAGAAAAAGCTAATAGATTGTGCAATATTTCCAGAAGGCAAAGTAAACATGCAACAAAAAAGTAAAGTAAAAGATGATCTTATGTTTGAAATGTTTCTGAGCTTTGTTTGATGGTTTCTTGATTGTGTGTGTGAGTGTGTGTGTGTGTGTGTGAGGGTGGGAAGGATTATTTATTTTATTTCTATTTCCGCCTGCCCTTCCCTATAGCAGCAACCTCATTTGGACGCTCAGCCTGTGAGACTACTACAGACTGCTGTGGAACATATAATTAGTCCTCAGTTATTCTAAAGATTTATCTTGTGGAAAAAATCTCAAGATTTCTATTTGGAGAATAACGTGGGGTAAAAAGAAGAGGCAAACTGAAAATTTGTCAATTTGAACTGTCACGAACATTCAATATAATTTTAAGTAGGGTGAGGCTGAAACTATTGGAAAAATAACATTTATTGGGTAATTTGCTCATGTAACCTTTGATGGGTGCTTTCAGATGAAAGAGTTAAGATCAAAAGAACAGCATTCCAAACATTGGGGAATATACTTGGAAAAAGAATATAATGATACTAGTTATCTGGTCATTCCTGAATTAGCGCTTTGCATCTAACATGTATACTTCTTTTAAATATTCCTAACTTGATGGGAAAGAATATACTTTCCACACAAATTTAATTTTAAATGAAAAAACCTTCAATTCACTAAGGAAACAATTACAGATATATATATATATATTTATGGTGGTATAATGACAAGCCCAAGTCTAGACTGTCAGGAAGCAGGGTCTAATTTATGGTGGTATAATGACAAGCCCAAGTCTAGACTGTCAGGAAGCAGGGTCTAATGCTAGGGACCCATGGGGAATAGGGATAGGAAGGTAGGGTATAGAGAAACATTTGCACACACTAGACATTTAGGGTAATGTCTACAACCAATGAGGATGGATTTAATTGGGCTCTATTTTTGAAAACAAAACAAAACAAAGAAATCTGTAACTGGAACCAAATCCATTTATGCCAGCCTTGAGTATTTCTATTCAGTTGGCCCATGCATAAACCATTGTGCAGTTGATTCAAAACAGATGTAGAAGCACCTGTTCTAACAAAAGACATTTTACTGATTCACTTCTGTCTTCCTAACTCTGCTTTTCTAATATTAATTTCTTCTTCCTTCAGATTTGTTTACCCAAACTTCCCTTTTCAGAATTTGAGAAGTCACCTACTTGTGTCTCTCTTATACTCATTTCTTAATTTTAACTTCCTCTATAGTCTTGGAAGGTCAACTCTTTGGGTGAAGAGAAGCAGATGCTCACTGCCCAAGTCTTATTTCAGGCCCACCAATGCCTAAGTTTAGAGCAGATCATTCAATAGTATGTGCTCCATTCACCCATGAGGGAGTAGTTTTGAAAACACTGGTTTTCTAGATTCTCACTGGTTCAGTTATGGAACTGAACCTATATAGACAAGTCTTCAGCACCCACCACAGATCTGAATATATTCAAATGCACTCTGTTGAAAGCCAACATGTGCATGGCATATTTATGTAATTTTACTATTAAGTAACATTCTTTAGACTATTTAACTGAGCTTTAGTTTCACTATAGAATTAAGCAGACAAATACAATTCAGAATTCCTAAAACTTAATAAAGAACCATAAATTCACATCTGCTGTTGTAAAATTTGACACACATTGTTAAATTTGGACCAAAATGCTCTGGATTTCAAGACATATTTGCATCAGAATTTCTCTGTAGGAAGTTTCTTTCCAGCCATTGCTCTTCCCACTTCGAAATAAGAAATTAACTGAATGTTAGTTATCGAGAAGAGATTCAAATTTGGGCTTACTAGAATGTATTATCAATTAAGCGTCATGGCAAAGCAGTAAAGAAAATTTATTTTACATCATGATGCTACTGGTCCACATAAACAGTTTGTTGTAATTTTAAATAGCAAGTTCCTTTTCATGCTGGCTTTTCATCTTATCTTTCTTTCCTCTCTGAAGAGAGGTCCACTCATTCCTCTCCCCTTTCTCATCAGTACAAGCTGCTCCTTTAAGCTTCACTTGTCCTCCAGCTTTTACAGAATACTCTCTTTTACAGAAATCACATCTTTTACTATAAAACTTGGCTTTTCAATCTAATCCTATTTACATATACTAAAATAAGGCTTGTTAATAATGAAAATTATTTCACCACATTAACCCTAGATTCTATTTCCATGGAAAATTGAGAACTCCATATATTTTTATATGTTTGTGGAAAGATTATTTTGTTGGGTGACAACATCAAGAACGTGAAGCCTAGATTACATGCCAAGAATCCAGGAACTAGACAGTATTTGTCTTAGAAATGGGTGACATTTTTTCAAGTAATAGAAAAGATTTTTTAAAAAATTGTCATGTAGCCTCTTTGATTAATCCAGAATCTTAACTGATCACTGATATGGCCCAATTAGGTTTATATATTTCAACAAAGAGAAAGTCTTGTTTACTTGGCTTTATTTGATAATGTCTTTGCTCTGGCTACTTCTTGATACATAAACTATACTGCATTCAAAGTCCTATATTTAAAAGGCTGAAAGTGAGATTACAATTTATAATTTAAAAAATTAAAAAAGAGTCACAGTTTTTAAACTTAAAATTGGTTATACAAATATATTAGCCATTCTTTCGTAAAGTACTATTTTACATGGAGTACAGCAGGTATTTAATAAACGAGAGTTATCAGTGGTAATGTGTTGTATTTATATTGGTTTATCTGGACAAGTATTTTTAATAATATATTAGAAAAGTCTTAGAATTTCTGGGCAAGAATTCAGAAGACAGCTTGCCTCAGAGACCAAAGAAGTAAAAATTTACTAACAAGGTAAATTGGGAAGGTAATATGGGAATTGGCAGAGTAAAACCATGATATAGAAGTTAAAATTCTGAAGGACTGGGAAGGATCAAAAGTAAAGTAAGGAAATAAAACAAAGCTTATAAAAAAAGGACTTAAGTTGAAAGATTATAAGAATTTAAGATTATTTTGTCCAGAGAAGTGACACCAGACTTAAAACTATTAAGTTCTCAGCTATTAAGTACCATTGAATAATGAGATCTGTGATAAATCCAATTCTGCACTGTTTTTATCAGTAAAGACTTATTTCTCAAAATGATATGTTGGTTTCAAGAGCACAAGGTTTATTTTTCAGTAAAAATGAAACATCATTCAAATTTATATAATTTTGTTAAGTTAGTGACTGAATTTTAAAGTTCTCTTTCAATAGTCAATAGTTTTGTAAAAATAAAACCAGATTTTCTCCAAATTTTCTCTAATATTTTACTCTCAAAAGCATCCAAGACATGGTCCACAGTACAGATGTATTTTCAGTGGTACAAATATGTTAAATACTGCCTGCGTGACTGATCAATCTGCTTATGAAGTCTTTTCTATATTATTTCTGCTAGATTATGAGAAATGCCGTGATCCAAAGGTTTAATCTATTAATTAAAAATAGAAGAACTAATATTACCATTAATTTACTTCTATTTTGAATGTATGTCTACAATTATCCTGTGGGAGAAAAAGTAGTTTTAGTATCTTCACAAACCTACAGTTTTTAAAATAAATTAGTTTAAATAAATTTCTATAATTCTCAGGATGATCTCACATTTAATGAACAGACTATGTTCAATATGGAAACTCAAGAAGAGTACTTATGTTAACTTGGATTGGCACTCAGAAGAAATCTAACTTTATTCCATTTGTTTTAGCACTCAATTTGCATAGCATGGGTAGAATAAGGCAAATTCTTTTTAGGACCATATTTTAGGAGAGTTGTCATTCCCTCAATTTTTAAAAGAAATTGAACAATTTTCTCAATGTAGATATTTCTTATTCATACAACATTATATGTTGTTGTTTAAAATAGGCTTCATTGATAATTATGAAATGTAATTTTGACTAATGCCTTTATTCAATTGTCATGTATGTACTGAGAAAGTTCTATGTATCAGTAGACTAAGAAATCTAATTTTGACTAATGCATTTATTCAATCATCATGGGTGTGTACCGAAAATGTACCATGTATCAGTAGACGCTGGGTAGAAAAAAGATTAAGTAGACACAGCTCCTGCCTCCAGGAATATAAAAATTCACTAAGGGAGAGAGAGAAGAATGAATAGGCAATACATGAAATGAACTCTGGAACTACAGAGGACAGGCACCTTAGAGAGATCAGGGAAGAATTTCTGGAGGTGATGGCATATAAACTGTGTTCTGAAGGATAGGGATACACGTTATTCAGGCAAAGAAAGGGTGATTGAGAGGGTGTGAAGCAAAGGGTGTTCTTGAATAAGACAGAGACGTGAATAACAACCCACTCAGGAAGCAGGAAGGGCATGGCACATTTAGAAATATGGCTAGCACATGGAATTCCAAGAAAAATTGTTCTGAGAAATGTAAGAAAAACTTTAAATGCTATATTAAGAAGTTACTATTTTACCCTGACTATATTGGGAAGTGTCCGAAGTATTTGAAGCAGAGCAGTTATAAGAGTTGATTCATCTGACAAAGGGCTAATATCCAGAATCTACAATGAATTCCAACAAATTTACAAGAAAAAAACAAACAACCCCATCAAAAAGTGGGCAAAGGATATGAACAGACAGTTCTCAAAAGAAGACATTTATGCAGGCAAGAGACACATGAAAAAATGCTCATCATCACTGGCCATCAGAGAAATGCAAATCAAAACCACAATGAGATACCATCTCACACCAGTTAGAATGGCAATCATTAAAAAGTCAGGAAACAACAGGTGCTGGAGAGGATGTGGAGAAATAGGAACACTTTTACACTGTTGGTGGGACTGTAAACTAGTTCAACCATTGTGGAAGTCAGTGTGGGGAGTCCTCAGGTATCTAGAACTAGAAATACCATTTGACCCAGCCATCCCATTACTGGGTATATACCCAAAGGACTATAAATCATGCTGCTATAAAGACACATGCACATGTATGTTTATTGTGGCACTATTCACAAGAGCAAAGACTTGGAAAGAACCCAAATGTCCAACAATGATAGACTGGATTAAGAAAATGTGGCACATATACACCATGGAATACTATGCAGCCATAAAAAATGATGAATTCATGTCCTTTGTAGGGACATGGATGAAATTGGAAATCATCATTCTCAGTAAACTATGGCAAGGACAAAAAACCAAACACTGCATGTTCTCACTCATAGATGGGAATTGAACAATGAGAACACATGGACACAGGAAGGGGAAGATCACACTCTGGGGACTGTTGTGGGGTTGGGGGAGGGGGGAGGGATAGCATTAGGAGACATACCTAATGCTAAATGACGAGTTAATGGGTGCAGCACACCAGCATGGCACATGTATGCATATGTAACTAACCTGCACATTGTGCACATGTACCCTAAAACTTAAAGTATAATAATAATAATAAAAAAGAAAAAATAAATAAAAAAATAAAGTAAAATAAAATATGACAATAAAAAAAAGAGTTGATTCAGATCTTACATCACTCTGATGGCAGAGGGGAGAAAAGATTAGAAGGGACTAAAGTTTGAGAAATATGTTAGAAAATGTTTACTTCTTTTGGTTTCTTAAAATATGATCACTGGGCCCTATTTTATTATTGTGTAGACTCTGAATCTACAGAGTCTACATAAATGTCTTTCGAGCACAGTCACTTGTATACTCCTAAGTTACCTATGGCCTACTTACACTAATGACCTAAAACAATTGCTTTTAGACACTGTAAACTATAGGCTGCAAAGCATCTCATTTTTAGCTTCAAATTCACTTTTAAATTTATATTTCAACCTCAAGATTGCAATGCAATGATGTTTCATTAACAGATGGGAACTATGACATAATGAATATGATACTAACAATTAATGGATAAAGTCTTGGAGTTTGTGAATGGTTTATTTGTTTTACAGAGTGAGTAGATTCAAGGTTACGCCCCATAAAAACATGACATCACTCTCATTCAGATTCTCTTTTTTGAGTGGAAAGAAAGGTAGAGTGGAGAGGAGCTACAGCTGGCAATTTTATAATTCTGAACCTGTGGCCTCTCTTCTTTATGTATAATATCTATGTGAATCAGTTGGGTGTATAATCGTATTTTGGGGAAGTGGGAAAGATTAACTGAGATTTAATTTATTTAAATACTTGAATAATACTAACACCTCTTAAGAGCTTACTACTGACAACCACACTGTTTAATGAACTTTATGTGTATTAATTCATTTAACTTTCACAGCTATCCTACAAGATAGGTGCTATTATTCCCATTGCATAGATTAGGACAGAAGAGGGTTTAAGCAACTTCCCCAATGCCACCCAACTGGGAAACTGGAGAAAGGAGACACAGGTTTCAAAACTAAACAATTTGGCTACAGACACCATATTCTCAAACTCTGATCTATAATGGAAAGTAAGCACAATAAAATGGGCACTTACTTTAAAAGGTATTTTAAATTGTGATTTGTTAAAACTGTGATGAAGAACCCACAGGCCTTTATCACAAAGCTCCTTTCCCAGTATGGCCGTCGTGACAGATAATCTAATTTCAATATGAGATTTTTAAATCTGTTTCTGTGTTGACAATTCTTAAATATACCAGAGAATTGGACGATTTCATTTACTGATATAATTTTAGTAATAAATTAGGAGGTCTAATGTGTGATATTATACAATTTTCTATAGAATGTAATAAAATCATTTCCATTTCAAATTTAAAAATGAGGCCCATCATTGAATTTTTTTTCCTTAATTAGACTTCAGGTAAAATTATTGCTCAACACTGACTCAAACATACAAGTGCGCGTGCATATTCTTCTTCTAAATCAAAATATAGTTTTGAATCTTAGAATTTTTGAGCTGTGAAGAAATCACATGGTACAATACTTCCATGAGAAAAATGAACCTCATAAAAGGTAAATGAATTGTCAGGGTCACACACAGAGTGGATAACTCCCTTATGTAGAAACATCTTAGGAGATGTCTTATAAAATTGAAACCATTTAAATTTTTTAACCATGTTAGTGGATTTTTGACAAAATTATAAATTTTTGAACAAAATCAACCCAACAACTTCTTTCATCATAACAAAATTAAAAGGTAAAGTAATAATAGATAAGATGATGAATATCAATTTAGCTTGAAAATACAATTTGGGATTACCTAAATCAAGGGAATATATGAGAAAATAAAAAAGGAAGAAGACCATTTCCATGTGGAAATCTGTAACCATTTGGTTAAAAATCTAGGCAGAGTAATTTTAAAAGATTTTGTCTACTATTCAAATATATAACAGTTTTAACTTAATAGCTACCACAAAATTAATATGAAAACATGCATTATTTTATCACTAGAAATGAACTTTTTTCTCTTTTGATGCCTTGGTGTATTAAAGTATGTTTCTCAAGAGTATACCTACTTTAATCATGTCTAGTGAGTTATTATGCAAAAGGTACAAAGAACTAAGAACTGGGGCTTTAAAACACATATTATTTGTGGAAGCATTTTTTGAATTATATGAATAGAAAGAGGATACTATTCACTTTCCAAAATATCCTTAATATTAAAATTATAGGTTTTTAATAATGTTCACTATTAAATTAGAGGTCATTGGAAAATCATAATAAATGGAAGCATCCTACAGTGCTCATAAAAGGGAAGCAGTGGAGCTCCCTCTATTGAATTACACTTGAGAAATAATGTATTTAAAATCATAATTTTATTATCAAAATGACAGCATTGTAACAATCGGAAATTTTTCTTTCTAAGTTCTAATATTTTCAAATTACAGAAACACATATAATAATGTCAATTTCTGAGAATAATATAGTGCATTACATATGTCTTTATAATTTTAACACGTGTTTTTTTCTCTTTTTTTTGTGGAAAATTACATTTTAAAGCTATAATTTTCAATTATGTTCTTTTGTTTTTCCTGAGATGATAAAACTGAAAGGTTACTTGACATTCATTGAGATTATGAAACATTCTAATAAAATATACTTTTCAGTTTAGTTATGGAAGCCCAAAATGTATTCAGATGGAACTGAAATATTTCTCAATCAGTAAAATGAAGTATTTCACAAGTTTTTCTGATGTGAATAACTGATATTATTAGGTTACTGAAAAATGTGATTCATAATGATTATTATTTGGTTGAGTGTCTACAATGTGCTAGGCACTGACAAACATAATATAAATTCATTACCTTCTTGAATATTCCTACCAAATGAACTTGGCTGCTATCCTCAATTAACAAATGAAAAAACAGACAAAAGCTAGAAAGCAAACTCATGCTCTGATCCATAGCCCAAGCTCTTGAGCTGTTATATAAAGAAATCTATGCTATGCAGATTTCAGTCTGGAGTCTCTGAGCATAGACAGTTCATGAAGATCAAGCCTGGAGAATAGTCTTCTTATACCGTGGAGATACGGCCATACTGCCTACCATCAAATCACTACTCAAGCAGTTCAAATCATTTCTAACCAAACACTTTGGATGGATTCTAGAAAATGATAACCTCCAAACCATACCCTGAAACCCTACTCCTTTTTTACTATTTTATAATCTCTTTTAGAAAGGTGGCATTTTCTAACAGCAAAGAGGAAAACAGCTGAGTGGATAAAGGTTTTGTTTTAATAAACAGATACGTATTTGCCATTCTAGTATGATCAGAGAAGCTATTTAATCTTATACTAAACAAGCATTTCTCAAAAAAAAAAAAAAAACTATTTGAGAACTAGCCAGTATCCATTGAGGCTGGGTGGAACAGGGGATTTATGTAATGGAGTAAATCCAAATATAAATTACATTTTACTCTTAGATCTGATATCAAAACTGTTATTCATACTTAGATCCATGACCATCTCTGCAAAAATATAAAACCTATACCTTAAAATCACCATAAACATTCTTCTTAGAAAGTGTTGTACCTATCACCAGGTAGGGAAAATGCTTGCAGAATAAAGTATAAGTGCCCCAGATTTGAACATCTAAACTAAATACCAGGCAGAAACTGCTTTACTCATTAAATTACAGTATGTGCATACAAACATTACCTCCATTATGAATATTTATCATTTGTTTAAAAATATTACTTTCGGCATATAATTTTTCAAAACTATATATATATATCCTGCTATTTTCTATGTAAAAGTGACTAAAATAGATTTTATTCCTACTTTCCTTAATGGGTTAAAAAATTACAGGTGAAAAATATTTAGTGGCACTGATTTTTAAAAAAATTTGTAAAATATTGTACTTTTTATCAGTTTATACAAAATTCTGACAAGCTTTGTTGGAAGAATTGTTCAAAAGATGATTTACTTAAGGCTTAAACTTGTTGGAATAATTGTTCGAAATATGATTTACTTAAAAATAACTGAAGTTTGTTTAGTAATGACTATTATACAGGGTTTACAAAGTGGCATTAGTCAGACCACCCATAAAATGTATACTGTACCTACAACGAACTAATACAAATATTTGGAAACCATTTCTTTGTGTTGAAAAGCAGTATTAAATTCACTTATGGCTCAAATGTGGCTGTCTCTTAATCCTGATTGTACAGAGTATTAATTTTACAAAATGGAAGAGGTTATGGCTTATAATTATACAGTTTATGTTCTAAAAGTTAGCAATCTTATGTAGAAAGAACAATAATAAAAATTCATGGTAAATACCTGTCTTTTCCCATTTCTGGCCCAATCTCATGTATAATAAAGTTAGGCACCAATATAGGTTTTGCCTTGTATGTGAGTGTATATGCCTACTACTCCTATAATTCTAACTTTTCCAATAAGCTTTAAATAAATGAAAACCAACTTATGATACTGGTTAAAAAGAGGAATGTAATAGTACAGATTTATGAAGAGAGTTTAAGAAAGGCATTATCTTACTTTTGTTGGGATTTTTTTAAAGATGTGTACTCTTTGAGCAGTAATTTTACAATTTCTTTCTAAATGAAAAACACATCGTTGACTCAGTAACTTCACTTCCAAGACATTTTACCAACAACTGCCACCAATTGCTTATATGGACAATAACATGATTAGGATGTTCACTGCTCTAGTTTGTAATAACGAAAGATTGGAAACAACCTAAACTTCCAGGAACTTGTGAAATGGTTACATTAATGATGATAGTACAGTAAAATCCAATGCACACTTTTTAAAAATGAGGTAGAGCTATAGGTGCTGCTATGAGACAATTTTTTAATCTCCAAAATGTACTGTTAAATGAAAAAGGAAAGGTACAAAATGATGTATATGGTATGTTTCCACTTTATTTTTTAAGTAGGGAGGTATACATACAAATATTTACTAATATGTGAATATTTCAATAAGACAAAGACATCCTTTTGTAGATCCCACAACTGGCAAGTCAATTAGGGAGATTGCAGGAAAGTATTTGAACAACTTCAAGGAATCCTTGGTTTTTGCCTCAACCTTCAAAACTTCTTTAGTTTTCATGAAAAGGGATAGGCACATTTTCACCTCCAGGAGTTAGAAACCATGTTTCTTACCACCTTAGCATCCTCAGTCATGTTATTTCCTCAGCCTACATCCTTTGCTAGATTATTCCTCAGCACGTAGCTCAGATATCACTTCCTGCTAGACGTTTTCTGAGTTTCTCTTAAATCCCAGACTAGATCTGGCCCCTTTGTTGTAAAATGCTGTTCATTGTTCTTGTGACATTTACCAAAATTTCTAGCAAATAGTTATATAGTTAATTAATTGATATCTGTTTCCCTGAGAGAACATAACATCTTTGAGTGATAGGATCTTGAATGTATAGTAATTAGTTTATTTCCATATCCTCAAGCACAATGTGTAGTACATACTGAGCACTCCATTAATATTTGTTGAAAGCTGTTATATATGCTGAATGATCAATTGACATGAGTTTTAGTTCTGGATTGGCCAACAATGTGACCTTAGTCAAGTAGTTAATTAATTTTTAGGTTCTTTACAGGTCAAAACCTTTAATCTATGAGTTTAGGCGCAAATGAAACTGAAAACATGTCACTAGGAATTGTGGTTAATTTGCTACTGGATTTTAGGTAATCTCTTAAACCTGTGGTTTCATTTATTTCAGCTCTCAAATGGGGGGCTAAACAAAAAGAACATCAAAAGAACATTCTCATTTTTCCAACAACCCTTCTTTTACCATATTTTAACTTGTGACAATAAATTCCATGCCTCTAATCCTTCAGAATTCATTCTCTCTCTCTCTCTGTCTCTGTCTTTCTCTCTCCTCTCCAGCCCCCAACACACACAAACTCACACACACTGAACTTTCCATAATTTAACTCTGGAGAGAGTTAAGGTTTTCGCTCTAAGTGAAAGTATTCTTATTCAACACTGCTTGAGCCTCTCAAAAGGCCGTATGTTTTGCCCAAGGATCTAGAAGGTGAAAATTGTTAATACAGGGTCAAAGTTTCCGCGATAAGCGTCTTTGCTGTTGTCACACCCTTGACTACAACCGTATCCTAGCCATACTGTTGGTGGCCACATCAGGTCGCCTTTTCTGACTGATACAACTTAGTTTGCATGTACAGAAGAATGCTGGGGCTTCCTTCAACATCCCTGGTTTTTTTAAGAAAAAAATTGGTAGTGTGATTACTGAGAAATCTCATAGAAGAACAGAATGGGAGTTGTACAATTTGCTGCAAAAGGAATTCATGCTCATACTGAAATAGTTCTTCCCTAAATAACCCCGTAGCTAAGTGTAGCTCCCAGGTGAATTTCAAACAAAATTATTCCCTTGGCATCTGAGGTCAATTTAGTTTCCATTCCAAACCATAGGATCCTCAATGTTTCATATCCACAACATTCTGGAATTCTAGAGGCTACAACCTCACATCTTTCTTTCTTATACCTGACATGAAAGGGGCATATAACCCATTAATGATATTTCACTGTAGCTGATAATTAAATTTAAATGGGTTAAAAATATGCACTTGGTTAGGATGAAGAGTGCATTTATCACAGTGAAGTACTCCAAGACATAAAGACAAGTTACAAATTATTGTGGAGCCTGTATGATATGTTATGCAAAATGCACTTCTGAAAATGAAAAAGGATGCCATTAATAATTGTACCAGCTCATGAGGCATAAACCAGGACAGTCTTAGGTATACCAAGATGAATGAATGGTCAACCTACTAATAATATGCATATTAAGCAAGATAGCACCAAAAGATATACAAGAAAGAAAATAAATGTCTATAATAGGTAACACACAAGTTGACAACAAATGACACCATAGGTGTCACCTGGGGAATGGTTAGCTGATTGTACCACAAACAAGCTGAATTTGGAAGGGTTCAATGTGTAGGTTTCAACCCTGAAAACTTAGAAGCTTCTTTTGGCTGCTTACCAAACATTTTCCCATCTTTTAAAGATGAATTCTCACTAACCAAACTCATAAACCAGCTTATTGGTATACATAAGAGCAATTATTGCCAAGGGAATACAATGCTTCTCTTCCAGCTAGTGCATCCTCTGACTGTAAACTGGCTATATAAGAAGTCACATTGGGCTCGGTGCAGTGGCTCATGCCTGTAATCCCAGCACTTTGGGAGGCCGCGGCATGTAGATCACCTGAGGCCAGGAGTTCCAGACCAGCCTGGCCAACATGGTGAAACCCAGTCTCTACTAAAAATACACAAAATTAGCTGGGCGAGCTGGTGGGCACCTGTAATTCCAGCTACTTGGAAGGCTGAGGCAGGAGAATCGCTTGAACTCGGGAGGCAGAGGTTGCAGTGAGCAGAGATCGCACCATTGCACTCCAGCCTGGGTAACAAGAGCGAGACACCGTCTCAAAAACAAAAACAAAAACAAAAAACAAGCATCACATTATAATTAGAAGATTTCTTAGTGACCATGAAATTCCACCATGGGAAAGTTTACTATATGACTTGAATATTCAGAGCATTACGTTCTTTTTTAAGAAAAAAAGAAAATAGAGACAGAGTTACACAATATTGGCCAGGCTGGTCTCGAACTCTTGGCCTCAGGTGATCCGCCCGCCTCGGCCTCCCAAAGTGCTAGGATTATAGGTATGAGCCACTGAGCCTGGCCCCAGAATTAGGTTCTTATAATGAGTTTTATCTATCTCAACAAAAAGCTATACCTGCTAAGGAGACTGGGCAAGTCATGTCTGCCAGTTAGAGGGGCCACTTACTTTCACCATAAAAGAAAGTGTTTGGATTCATTAAGTATAATAGCTTCAATAACCACATTTGGCCCAACTCCTCTACTTTTTCTGTGTTTCTCCAATGACCAAAGTCTTTTTCATCCTTAATCACAGGTCCTTTACGAATATACATGTTCTTTTCTTTTTGTTTTTCATTAATACTACTAAAGTGCCATCAGGTCTTGATAGCCTGTCCCACTCTGTTCTTTCATGATGGTTTTATTTTCCAGTTCAATTCTCAGTGAGGAATATTATATCCTCAACTCCCAAACTCCTTGAGAAAATTTCTTAGTAATGCATGAATGTCAGGTGCTGCCATATGGAGTTTAATTCTCCACATATGCATTGCTTCTACTGTATTTAATGCAAAGAAAAAATGTGAAGCAGCTTCTAGGTGTCAAGCTCTTAACTAGACTTGAGGATACATAGACAAAGATGATATTTGGTATTCAAAAAATTTATGTTCAACTGAAAAAAGTCACCAATATCATAATACAATGTGGTAAAAACTACAGCAAAGACAAGTACAGGGAAAAGGAAAAGGGAAAAGTTAAGACTCACTTTAGTCATTATCAACATTCCAATGTTGATTTTGCACCAAAGGCAAGTAAGTACAGGAAAGTTTTTTTTTCTTCATTCACAGTTCAAATAAGGTAATCTAGACTCTCTCTAAAACTATACAGATGGAGAGGATAAAAATCTACTTATATCAATTTCTAAGGTGAAAGTATCTTTGAGATTTATCTCCCTCAAGAAAACATTGTGTTGGAGTGCTGGTTGATATCTTAATCTACAAATTCAGTTAACTTCTCTAGTGAAATCATCATAATAAGTTAAAATAATCAAAAATAAAGTCTTTTTTAATTACAAGTTCCAATCTTCCTAACATTTATGGATTTGATATTACTGGTTTTCACTGTTTACTGTAACCCCATAATCCATTATAAGTAGTAATTTTTTTTTCTAAAAGCAGGTGTGTGAAAATCCTACTGGAGAGTCAACCTACCTGGCTGCTAACCCAACTCATAACATGAAAAGGGTATTGCTTTATTATTCATTTATTCATGGAAACTCATATGATGTAATAAAAAACTTGCTTAAGAAAAAGGGCCAGGTGAGGGTAAAATTTTTCTAAAACTTGAAATGTGATTTTGCAGAGCTAAACAAATTATTCATAGTGGAAGTGTCATTGAGCAAAGGCCAGAAGACTACAGCAATTGCCATGGTCATAGTATGTTTTCCTGTGAATGAACATCAAGGGTCTATAATATTTATAGGATTTGAGAAGATTGCAAAGGTTTAGTTTCATCTCATAGATGTTTTTAGTCTTACTTGGGCCAAGATTTTGCATCAGTTCCTTAAGTGATACAGAAAAGAGCTAAAACAATAATAACAGTAATAGAGAAGCAAATCAGAGAAGCTGGACAGCTGTCTAATTTCTGATTAACCTATTCCCCAGCAGTTTAGTTTCATTGTGTTGAAGTACTATGAATTCTTAGACCAGACAAGTATAGACATGTTCATTGAAGTACCTCAACTCAAAGTCAAATTAAGTAATCCTTTGGTTAGAAGATGTTTTGGATTGTGCGCAACTCTGATTTCCCCTTCAATGGAATGGATAATTGAGAACTGACTGGATAAATAAGAGAGGAAGCATTAAAAGCTAATTTCATTCTTGGAACATAGACTACAGTAATGGGCTATGATAATAGGTTAGCATAAAACAATTACTGAATACCATACCACATTTGGAACTAGGCCTATCTGAAATATATAAGGTATTCTATTCAATAATAAGGGAGAAAAGAGAATGTAAAATTTATTATTTAAGCAGAGAAATTAGCTGCATGAAAATATCAGTAACTCCAAAAATATGGTAATGACTTACGTACTATAGGGACACTATAATAATTGTAGGATTTAGATTTAACCTTACCAAACAGCCTGCAATATTCTCTTCCTGAATATAGAATATCTATTTTAGTCTTGAATTTACTCTCCACAAGGAAAGGAAAATTCTACCCTAATAAAAAAAGTAATCAAAAGTATAAATGGATTTTTTTCCATTTCTTATTGAAAATAAACTGAGTTGAAATCCAAAAGTAATAACCAAATAAATGTTATCACCCACCACACCCAAGAAACCATTCTTTAGTATTCCAGTAAGTTAGTTCATTCTTCATATGTCACATACATGTGTCACACACATAATGTGTAAGAAATGAGATTAGCCTCTGTGAATACTTAACAATGAAGAATAAAATTAACACATTGTGAGAAATTGCATTTAAGTTTCTATGTATACATTGAGACAGAGACATATTCTTCTATCATAGCTATACCTAAGTGGATCTTCTGCATATCTGGGCTATAAATTGCATGTGTCTACTTGAGTGAATACCTTCAGGGAGCTAGAACTCTTTGATGGTGTTTTATGCTAAATAAATGGCCAGAACAGAAAGAAGTGTGTTTGGAATTGTAAAACATGGTGATTATAAAGCATTTAAAATACTATCTGACAAACTGCTGCCATCTTACACCAAGTAATATTGACAACTTAGGTGGTACTAAGTTTTACAAAGGCCCACGGTTAGTGGCATGAAAATTTGACGGAGAAAAAGAAAAAAGAGAAAAAAAAAAAGAAACATCTTTCCATTATTTTAATAAAATGATAAAAGTGATAATTAAGTGGAATAAATTAAAGAATGTTATTCTATTAACAATATAATAAAAGCCTTAATTAATATAGCACGTTTTACTTAAAAAATTTGAAATGCTGAGCAAGGGAATTACTAATCTCAACACAATCAGAACCACACATTGCACAGAAAGAAATTCACAGATGGGAAATAAAAAAGAGCAGAAAAATAATTTTCCCAAGGTCACAACATTCTTACATGACATAGTTAGAAACTGAACACATGAATACTGACTACAATATACAATTTTTCTAATAACACAAGACTATTTAATTAATTTTCTTCTTTTTGATAAGTCAATGGTAGACATGCATTTTCATCTGAATGTCTATTAAAAAAGATAAGCTAGTTTGAATTTTTTACAAAGTCAGAAAAGGTTTGGAATCTGGTAAGACAAGATATTTTGGATTTCTACAAGTTTTAAAACAATAGAAAAATATTAGTATTTTCTATTTCCTTCTGTCTTGCATTTACAACCATGTTGCAAATCAACTTTTTGAGCAACTTTAGGATGTACAATATGAGGCTTTGTCATATGAATATTTAAGCATAAACCATAATTTACATCTCATTCTAGGTACTATGTATGCAGTTTATATAGGAACAGGTTTGCAGGAGAGATGAGTTACACTAGCAGGGCTTTCTGAGGCCTACTATCCTTTCTTACTTTTGGGTCCTCTTTTCCCAGGAGAGTGGAAGGCTAATTTCTCTCCTTCACGCTTTTTTTTTTCCCTACTAAGGCTGGAAAGAGTAAGCATAGATGTTATCATGAATTTTTAAAGGTAGAAAAAAAAAGGAAATTAGAAATTGGGGTCTACTGATACTTTTCTAATAATACAATTTATATGAATTTTGTCTAGACTGAGATCCTTAGAAAAATAGTGTTGAAAAATGACTCTGCCTGCCTAAATTGGTTTTTTACCTTAAGACTTCAGAAACAAAGAGTTTTTGAGCTGGGAGACATTTCAGAGAGTAGGCCTCTAGTCTGTCTTTTTATTTTGTATGAGAAAACTGAAGCTCAAAAAGGTTAAATGACTTGCTCAAGTGCCTGAAGGTAGATGTCCTGAAGAAAGCCTAGAAAAGCAATTTACTGCAAATAATGCTCCATTAAATTGTAAATTGCTATTGGATTAAATAAATCCTTAAGGAAAAAATATATATATATTGGCTGTTAAACAGTTTTTAGTTTTTAAATTAATCAATTTCAATAGTCCTACATCAATAGTCTTTGAAAGGACATTATTTGAGTTGATGCTTTCCCAAGTCCTGTTGAGATCAATTGATATGTTTCAAACATAATATCCCACTGAAGAAAGCTTTATGTGTGCTTATGTCTTAGAATGAATCTTATATCAGTGAGATCAGTGAGTAGTTATGAAAAATCCCATAGAGGGGTTCATACAGATGACCCAAGTGAAGAAAGAGTTAACTGCAGCGCCCCATCTCCTTGTAAATAATCCAGAAAAGCATTCTTTTTTTAAGCAATACAAAATGTCACCACAGGCTGACGCTCTTTCTACAAGAATAACGAGAATATTGCTATCTCGGATGTTGAACACACACTTCATTGCCTTCATCTCTGAATTCAGTTTTCGTGGTTCATATATTTTTCTCCTCCTTTCAAAACAGGTAACGTGGCACGCCTAAAATATATCAATGACTTTGTAGCGACTACAAGCCGAAAGACCCGGGGAAGCAGTTTCACAAACTCGAGTTTTTGACCTCTACAACTGGACATACACTATTAAAACTGCTCCGGAAATGAAGAGTGGCCGGCAGGGAAGGCAGTTACCCCGCTCAAATGAAGCCGGCCTTTGGCACCGCGCCCCCACCGGGCTCTGCTATGCAGAGGGCTCCGAAGAAGGCGCACTTACTGTCCAAGACTTGCTTCCTCAGTGTAGACACGGCGCCTTTAGTGCTGTAACCTTTCCTTTCAAAACACACTGATACTGCAATGAGAATTTCGGCAATGCCAGCTCGGTAATTCACCGAAACCACGGATCTGAGGGTCCAGGGCCGATATCGGATCCTCAGATTCACGGTGGCTGGTTGCGGTGAGCCGGGGCTAGCCGCTCGCCGAAAGCGCGCAGCTCGGTGCCCCCTGGACACACGAGCCTGTGGCGCCAAAAGAACCACCGTGAAGGAGGTCTGAAAGCGGAACTTTCCCCCTTTTAGCAGTTAAATGTGTAGAAAAACCTATCCTGCGACGTGGCCCGCCTGTGACGGCACCGAAAAGGAAACTGGTTATGTGCCTGTGTCAGGGGTGTGGACGAGGGTGAGATTACATTCTCCAAGTCTCGAGGGGGTTAATCGGAAAACCAACTGTGGGCGTGTGGACGTTTGCATGTTACAAACCGACATCACCCTTGTCCTCCCTTCTTGGCTCATTCCCTGGCTCCAAAGTGTCCTTTCCTCCATCGGACAGTGGAATCTCGAAAAAGTGAAATCCACACTGTGCCAGGCCCAAGGGGGTCTCGCCTTTCCACCTACCTCCCCAGCGTTGTTACACTAGGACACCTGCTTTAAATCCGGTTGAACTATGGTTTCACAGTCCCCGCCCCAGAGCCCGAGATTTGTCAGAGAACGCAGACGCCTTTTTTTTCCCTCAGCCTCAGAAACATCAGGTGAGCTCATTACCTCACCCAGAAATGTAACTTTAATAAAGAGATCTGGAGAGGGCACTCCTCCCGCCCACACACACAGCAACGGCAGCAGCAGCAGCAGCTCGCAAACACTTGTAATCTCTTCCTCAGGCTCTGGCCCCCAAACCCCTCTCCCCGCCAGTTCCTGGGAGAGATTCAGAGGCTTTCAAACCTCTTCTGTGACCTGAGCTTGCCGACAGCTGAAGGGATGTGCACGGATAAAAGGAAGTGAGATTTTTCTTTGATAAAAGCTAAAGAAAAAGCTAAGAACAAACAGGCCAAAATACCAGGAAGTAGGAGTTTAACTGGCAACTGTCTACGCAGGGATAGAAAAAAAAAACTTCAAAGAAAAAAAAATCCCCTAAATTTTCAGTTTAGGGGAGCAAAGGAACCTGCTGCTCTGTCAGGCAACTGTGAGCGCACGGAATACCCTGTTAGAACAACTTGTGTCAGCCGCCAGGCGGGCCTGAGGATACCAGGGCCAGGGGACGTCCCCGAGGGTGTGGAAAGGGATTTCCCGAGAGATATTTTAGTTGTTGGGAATTTTGCCTTTTCTCTCTCTCTCTCTCTCTCTCTCTCTCTCTCTCTCTCTCTTCCAAGACTCAGTACAGAACTGAGAACTGAGGCTCTATGAGCAGGTCCTGGAAATTCACAAACCTCTCACTGAGGTGTCTCCCAGGCCTACCTACTAATTCCTGTTCTGGCTGTGTTATCTGCCTGCGGTCACCCTTTCACTCACCACCCGCCCAGACAATGGACGGGGACCGCAGGGGGTAACGTTGAAACCACGATTTTAAGCTTTAGCAGGTTTCGCAAGGGGGGCGGGGGGAGGTGATTAAAGTCCTCTCCTTCTCTACCCCTCCCATCCCTTCCTCGGCTCACCAAGGGGAAGTTACTAGGGGATTTATCACGAAAAAGTGCCGGCAGTTATTTCATCCGAGAACTAAGCGAAAGAAAAACTGCTCGGGGCGCAGTGACGTGGACTTGGATACCCAGAGACAGGAGGAACTGTCAGAGGGCAAGAGTCCGCCGCCTAGCTGGGAGCCGCAGGGACAAGGGGAGAGCGTCAGGCGAATCCTGCCCACCCCGGAGCACCAAGTTCCTGGAGATTCACCCAGTTTCCCCAGCTTGATGCCCAAACTTGAGCTAACCAGCCAAGCCCAAACGTGCGGCACAGGTGACCGAGCCCGGGGACAGCTCTGTGCCAGGACAGCGGTCCCCTTACCTCCACCACGCGCCTGGGCGCACTGCCTCGGGGGTGCGAGGCTGGGACGGGGACCTAGGAAACTGCTCCAGGCCCACGTCTGTCTGGGGCTGCTCCCAGGCCCTTGCTCACCTGGCCTGAAGACGGTGGCGGAGATCAAGAGGCAGAAGAGCAGACGGCAGGAACTGGCCCCCTTGGATTCCATATTCCTCCTCCTTCTTGGTGGGCCACTGACGGAGTCCACGCCGCAGGAGGGGGCGTCGTCCCGGGCCCCGCGGTGCCCGCGCGCTGGCGGGTCCCGACGCAGGGGCAGCGTCTTCTCCCAGACACACCGTCCCCTGGGCTGTGGCGCTGCACCTTCGGTTCTCTGCCGCACGCAACTTTCCACCACGCAATGCCCCCAACTCCTCCTCCCTCCCGGTCAACACCAGCCCACGGGCCCTTCGGCTGCTCCTCCGGGGACAACGACCCTCTGTTTCCAGGAGACACTTGAGTAATTCGGAAAGGTGTAAGCGGTTCTTTTCGCTGGTATCTTCTTTTATTTTCCTTGTATTGGAATGATAATAATAATGGCAGTGGCAATGTGCATGAAACGCCAGGTGCTAAGAAGGACTCGCAGGAGGCGGCGACGGGGGGGCGGCGGGTCTCCTCAGGTGGCAGCGGTGGTAGCAGCGGCAGCGGCGGCAGCGGTCTCCGGGCTGCTCTGAGTAGAGGGACTGGAAGGCGTGTGTAAGCTGCCTCTTTCCTCCTCTCCCCGCCTCCTCCCTCCCTCCCGTCTCCTCCCCACTTCCCCGGACGCAGCGCAAAGCAGGTGGTTGAAGCGCGGATCCGCAGCCTAGAGGCGCTGCAGGACTGAGTCCGAGCCCTGAGCCCAGCTCCGGGATCAGGGAGAACCGCGTGCCCCGGTCCTGGAGCCCGGATGAGCGGTGCTTCACCGCGGCTCCGCCCCCAGGGCCAGGTCCGCCAATAAGAAGCAAGCACAGGAGCCGCGCGCGCCAGGGAGAGCCCTGGGACTAACACTTTCTGTGATGTTGCAGCGCCCCAGTGATAAGGCCTCTGGCTTCCAACTGCCCACCCACCCTCGCTGAGGTTTAAAAATCGACTGCCCTCTCCCTCCACCCATACGCCCATCCCACTGACTCATTCCTCAGAGATTTTTCTCCGCCGTGCTGCTGCAGCCTTCTGTCCTGTAAAGAGAATAGTGGGGCAGGGCGGTGGCGGTGGGGAGCGAACCTTGGGTCCAAGAGCGGGAGTGAAGGGAAAAGGAAAGGAAAGGGCAGGAGGAAGTGGCAAAGGTGGAAACTTGCTTCTTGGGAGTTAACAGGAATAGCTACTTGTTGGCAGGGGCAACCCCTGTACTGGACTGATTCCTCCTGTACTTTTCGAATCTCTCTCCTCCCCCTGCTCACCCCCACCACTCCCCTCACACCCGGCTGGCATAGACTTGGTTTTAAAGGAAGACTACGTGAGTCGACTGCCCGGTACCAACAGAAGATATTTGCTTTTCCCGGGGGAAATTAAATCCGGAATTTCTAAACCGTACTTCGTCATACGGATTTTCCCAATGTCTACAAAAGCCCTCTAGAGAGCGTGTCACTTTTTTACTTTGAGTTAAGCGGTGATTTTAAGTTATAGACAGAAAATCCTCAAATTATTTCAGATTAAAAGCCAAGTCCGTCTTGGTCCGTTCCCGAAAGCCAGGCACTCCAGCAGATGGACAGGCTTCTTAGGCAATTTCTAAAGATTGAACCACCTCCCAGGAGGAACATCGGGAAGCTGTGTTGCTTTCAAATCAGGCAGAGAGCATGAAGGAAGATTTTCCTCTAGAACACCGGGGTGGAGCTGTCGGAGCCCTAAGTGGCTCTAAATCAGGGATGCAGGATCACAACTCTCATCACCAAAGAATAATAAAATCTTGGTCCCTGAAGCACTTCGCTGGGGCATTAAATAGCCTTTCGTGCATCACAGGGTCACCCTTTTGTGAGACTGGTCTCCAGCAGAGGATGCCAACTAGTAATCGTTACATACTGCACTTTCATCAGAAAACTGCGAGTTACCAGCGAGATTGGAGACTCGCAACACACAGACACACACACACACACACACACTCACACACTGATTTTTAAAATTGTTTATCTTTTAGTGCTCTAAACTATTAAGCCCTATCTTCAGCTGTGATTTTTCTCAAAAGCCTGCTTGTCCTGTTCTTCCAGTTCTCCTTACATTAACAATATTCTAGAGTAGAGCTTTTATACCATATTTTTTTCCTCTCAAAATAAGTAGTTTCTCCCACTTGGTTTAAACATTAACATTTCATTTGCATCTTATGAATCAACAGGAAGGCTATCGCTAGGAGGCAAATGCCTTTTAACTCTATATTCCTTGAGCTAAGCTTGGCTGAAATGCTAGCATTTCCATGGACTCCTGTAGAATTGCTTTAGGGAATTGTTTTCTTTTTCACTGTGGTTGTAAGTGGGGTGTATTAGAATAAATCGACCTGACAATATATTTAACCTAGGTCCGCGAACGCTCTATCTGATCTCCTCTATTTTACGATGGGAGTTAATACAGCATAATTGCTTAAAGGTAGATTTGCAAAAGGAAGACTGATTTGGGCTCTGACACTAACTGTATGATCTTGGTCAACTCACTTAACCTCTTTAAGCTTCAGTCTCCTTTCTTGTAAAAAGTGATAATAGTGCTAGCCTCATGGGATTGCTGTGAAGATCAAATGAGATCAAACACACAAACACACACGTGGAATTCTGGGAGCAACTGACTATACAAATATGTACATATTATACTTATACACAAACACATGCATATATATATGGGCATATGTATAATATATATTTGAATGTGTAGTCCACTGCTTCCAGAATTGTTTTTAGAAAGGAATGTGTCCTAGTTTAGGAAAATGCCTTGATAAGCCACTTGGACTAGTAACTCCAAAGGCTATTGGTCATTAAAAAAAAATGGTGAAACGGCTCTATATTAAACAAAATAATAACCATGAAAATAGAAATTTGGCCTGGGAGTGGGGACGAAGGCAACAATACAAAGCATGAGTTTAGAAATGTTCAAAGGTCTTTAGATCTATTAATTAGCAACACTTACATGTTAGAATATTCTAAGCAATTTATATGAATTAATAGATGTATTCCCCTCATAAAAATTTATTGAAGGAGTTGCTATTTTCATCCTCATTTTACTCATGAAGAAACTGAAACCCAGAGACTCGAAGCAACTTTTCCAAGGTCACACAATGATTCATAGCAATGGTAAAGCCAGGGTTCTACCCAGGCATTCTGATTCTTGAACTGAATTCCTATCTACTTTGCTCATCACTATCCACTTTGCTTATCAAGAATGCGTAGCAATAAATGTATGGTTTTTTTGGTGGGGCGATTGATTTAAACATAAGTTCTCTCATCCTTTCACACACATTTTCATTAAGGAAATTTATTAATAAAGCAGCGCACCCTATCTGCGTAGGCCAGATACAGTGCATATGAGATGACAAGACCACTTCTAAACTGAAATAATGTAGCATAAGCAAGAGCTCAGAGTTAGAAATAAACATAAAAATGTAAGCTCCACAAAGTAATGTAATCGAATTAATCTTTCAAAATCTAGTCAATGTGGGATTGGATCCATCTTACCTAATTCTTGAGAGGAAGAGTGTTTCCAGCTACATGTAGATCACAGTCACTTTTGTTACAATTGAGAATACATAGTATTCCAATAATATTTATTGTATAGTTTAGTCATGCATCAGAGAATCATAAGGGTACATCTTGCTGAAAGGGAAAAATGAATAACATTTATCCAGGGGGAAAAAATTTCACGTTACCTGGGACATGAGAAGAGCTTTGTATTTTAAGTATAAAGGAATTCATCATCAATCAGGATGATATGCTCAAAAGCAGTGACATGGTACCGGAGGCAAGTTTCCTACTTACGGTCTGTTGAGATAAGGACTCAGGATTCCCAAGGCTCAGGCCAGGACCCCTTCCCTGTACTAAAATATTAATCCCATCAGTATGTGACAACATAGCCGAGTCAATTGTGTGTGCCTTTGAAGAATGGAAGTAGTTTTTCTCCCCTGATTAGCACCGCCAAAATTTCCACTGGAGATGAAATTTCAACAAAGATAGTTTTGGAAGCTGAGAACATTTGTTCCTACCACTGTATACCATTGTGTTTTGTTTGCCTTCCTACTCCTTGAACAAAATTGTATGCAGTTCCAGAGCATGCAACAAATCTGATTCACTCTTCTCTCCTTCAAGCGTCACCTACGGTGAATGCATGTTCAGCCATACTTAAAAATAGATTGGACACTTGATAAATTTTTGTGAATGGATGATAAGTGGTGAGAAAAATACCTAATGGAATATAAGCCTTCAAACCATCTTACAAGGGTTCATGATATGAGAAGATGAAAGGGGTTTCCATTGGGTCTTCAATGATTGGTCTAGGCAGACTAAGGTTTAGGAAAGGCAAAAAGAATGAGTCAAGTCCTAGTCAACAAGGTGATAACTATGAAGTATAAAGTGAGGAAACAATCTACAGAAGAAAGGCTGTACTAAAATTATATGCCATCAATTAGAATAAAACAAAGTGGCCCATGCTGAGCACAGAAACCTGATTAGTAAAGGTTCTAGGTGATCAAGCTAGGGCTTAGGCTAATATACTGATGACAAAGATTGAAATAAGGGCCTAAGTGGGATTTATATTAAGTCTAGGAAGAAACACAATCTTAAAGAGGCACAGAGATTACATCTGTATAATATAAAATTCTGTTTTATTCTAGACTCCAAGTTGTTTTTAAGTAAATGATTTCCAAAGTTATTGTATTAAATACACATGGAGGACCTCTGGGTATATCTCTTCCCAAGTCCATTGAATTTTATTGTTTAATTTCAGTTGTTAACAGTATCATCTGTCAATGAATTAATACAATTCTGCAACTCACCTTTTCAATAATGCCAGCTAATAAAGACATATCACTGAAGCTCAGGAGAGTAAAAACTTTCAAAGTCTATGATAAACATTATGTTCTTATTTCACAGAATGTTCAGTCTGGGTACAAAAAGAAATACATAGCTATTTCAGTTGAACTAGAAATCCACTTAGTCATTTTCCTTCCTGTCTCAGACATGAGGAATGAAGAAAGAATTTAGCTACGCTATTTGACTATGAAACTTACACTATATTAAATGAATTTCAAAAACTCTCAGTGTATTAAAAACTCATAATTTGTGGGTGATTTCAGTAAGTGTATAAATTTACATACAAAAAGTGTAAGAGTCTGGGTTTACCCCTTAACTTGAGGATTTCTCTTCAAAGTTTTCCCACTTTCAACTGAAATAAGCAGGTCTTTTAGTTTTGAGTAAGTAGAAAATGACTCAAGGTATGGCTATTTAAGTGTTTGATGCCTTTAAAGAAATTCCAACTTGAATTATATATTTTCAAGAAGTTTCCCAGAGTTATCTCTAATTTCTTTGATATATATTTATTACCCATTATGATCTGCAATAGTTCTATTCAGGAATATGAGGTGAATATATAATGACTGTAAAAATATGAAAATAATATATATTTGATTTTCTAAAGCAAAAAAGTCACTTTGGATCTAATGGATTTCTAGAAAGTCTAATTAATTAATTAATTACTAGGCCCCAATTTTCCATACTATTTTCCTCTTAAGTAAGATAGTTAAGTTCACAGGAAAGTATTAACAAACGATGGTTGGACAAATGTATGTTTTTGCTCCCTAAGGAGCAAAAACTCTATTATTGATTAACAAAAAAAGAAGTATTAATAACATGGAGTCAAGGATCACTGATCATATATTATAAGAAAGAACTTTAGAATTTTAATGCTTTTCAGGGCCTTAGAAGTATCTTAAGTGAACTGTTTTCAATGCTTAAAAGCAACCCTTTTTCTTCTAATACATGCATACTCTGAAGTCCAGTTTTATATTTGCCCCTTGTTCAATTTATTCAAATCATAGTAGTCTCCTCACTGCTCCTAAATGTACTTTGCATACTCCCACATCGGTGCCTTTGCACTTGCTCTTTCCACTCCTTGGAACTCTTTTCCCCAAGTTATTACGGTAGCTTACCTCCTCATTGAAGCCTTCCATAAACAAGTATTTAAACTGTCAGTCCCAGCCCCCAAATTCCTTTTCCTGCTTCATTTTTCTCCATAGAGTTTATCACCATATAGCATAATATCCATTTAACTCATGTAGTTTGATTATTGTCTGTCTCTCTACTAGAATGAAATCTCAATGAGGACAGAAGTTTGTGTCTGTTTTACATTCTTCCATATGTTTAAAATAGTCACATAGTAGACACTATTGGATTCAAAAAGTCAGGTTCATGAATACATGAGTTATTGTGCAAGGTAATTAATAAGCTGTTAGAGGTGGGGCTGTTTGGGCTGAATCTTTGTAAGCAGCCTGAGGTTTCACCTCCTCCTGTAGACACTCTAAGGGTTTCCAGGACAGTTAGATAAACCACTGGAATAATGTAACTACCTCATATAACATATGAGGTAGGTAATTGAGGTCCCGGGAGGAAGAACACTTAATCAAAATTAACACAGCTATGGGCACCATTCTTGTTTAAATGCAAATTATGTCTTTCAAGTAGGGTAAATATACAAGATACCCTGTAACTTAAGTCAAATTCTTGGGATAATAAGAAGACTGGATGCATATCAGACACCATTAATCAATTTCAAATACGGCACATTTATCCAAAGTCTTTTCAGAGCAAACATTCTGAATGATGTTCTGTATAACATTTCACTAAGGCATGATTATGGATGCAGTACCAATATTGCAAAGTCTACAGACTTAGTTAAGTATTAAAGAATTTAAGCCTCAGTGTTCTTTATACTTTGTTCTTTACAGGGTGAATTTGGCAAAATTATAATTCTAAGCAATGTATTCCACAAACATAGATGATTCATAACCTATTCAGCTAACAGTGCTATAGGACAAATATTTAATTTAATTTAATGTCCAGCATTTTAACATTACGTGGAGGTGTTTAATGTGTTTACTTTTCTTTGTAAGGGAAAGAAATTCACTTAATAATTGTACCTCAAGGTGAAAAGCTTGTGAGAAAATGCAATACATATAAAACAGTTATATAAGCCAATGCATAAAAAGATTTATAAATATGTATATGCTTTCATTGAAATCACCAGAATTCTGTGATGTGTTCTAGATGGTAAGGAGGTAGATGAAATTATTTCAGACCTTGGCTTCTGGTTTTAAAATGCTGTTAAAACTAGTTAACTGATATACCTCATAAGGAAAATTATTTGTCTTACTATGGAGAATGGCATCCAAGTTACAGAGTGAAACATCCTATGCAAGAGTGGTTAATGTATCCAATTAGAAAAGAATTTCCAACTGGTGCAGTTGCAGTGTCTCATACCTATAATCCCAACCCTTTGGGAGGCTCTCTTGAGCCCACGAGTTTGAGACCAGCCTGGGCAACATAAGGAAACCTCGTTCCTACAGTTCCTACAAAACCAACCAAACAAACAAAAAATTAGGAGGGTATGTTGGTGTGCACCTATAGTCTCAGCTACTTGGGAGGCTGAGGTGAAAAGATTGATTGAGCCCAGGAAGTGGAGGCTGCAGTGAATCATGAACTGTGATAGTGCCTAGGCAACAGAGCCAGTCCCTGTCACACACACACACACACAAACACACACACACACACACGCACAGAATCTACAAATGGTGTACTTCTCAACTAATTTTTCTAGAATCAAAGACATTTCAAGAAGTGCATAGTCCATGTTTATTCCTTGGATTTTTCAGGACTGAGGCAAATATCGAGGCCGGGATTAAATGAACACTAGATGTAGCCTCTGAAGCTAAAGGAACGCCAAGGGGAAGCTTGAGATGCACATACAGGGTGGGAATCACATCATTTAGCCAGACTGAGAAGGTGGGCCTTAGTTACTCATATCAGTAGCTTTGTCCCACACCAGAAGCTGAGTCATCTTCTATTCTCAAGCCTTCCCTCCTACTGCCTCCAGCTCCTGAGATCTTCCCAGAAGGACTCAGAAAAACTCCCAAATTACTCTATCCTGAGGTAGCTCTACCCCATCTGCATAAATTCCCGCTGTGAAATTTAAGTTGAAGTAACTTTTCCTAGTGATGATTTGTCCTTCCAGTTTGAAAATGATCAACATCTCTTCTCTCCTTTCTTTTCTTCCCAGCTTAATGCCTTATCTTTGGCCCGTTTTGTTAAGACTTACCATGTTGAGCTAAATAATAAAGCCATGATAATTTATGAATCAAAGAATGAGCAGTGAATGTATTGTGGTCTGTGTGCCAATGAAAGAAAGAGATGTCCAAAGAGAGATGAGTCATAGGTCAGAGAAACAAAAATAGAATAAATTAGCTTATCTTAGAATATAGGCCAAGAAAGAAATTTAGCTCTTAGTAATTTCCCACTACCACCTCCTTCCCCCTTTTCTTAAAAGTTAAGGAGACATTATTTTAAAAGTTAAGGAGACATTATTTGTATAATCCCGGCCAGCCTGCAGGAGTTTGTCCTCAGGTAAGGAATTTTTTTTTTCTGTGGTTTTTGTAATGAAAGCAACAAAACCCAACTCTACACAGCCTAAGCAAAAGAAACAAAGATGGGAGCCAGACATGGTGGCTCACACCTGTAATCCCAACACTTTGGGAGGCCGAGGTGGGCAGATCACCTGAGGCCAGGATTTCAAGACCAGCCTGACCAACATGGTGAAACCCCATTTCTACTAAAAATACACAATTAGCCAGGCATGATGGTGCGCACCTGTAATCTCAGCTACATGGGAGGCTGAGGCAGGAGAATTGCTTGAACCCAGGAGGCGGAGGTTGCAGTGAGCCAAGATCGCACCATTGCACTCCAGCCTGGGCAAAAAGAGCGAAACTCCATCTAAAAAAAACCAAAAAGATGAGGAGGGGACTTACTGATTTAAATCACCAGAAATTCCAGAAGTGTGTATTTGTTGAAGCATAGCAGGAGCCAGGCATTTGAGCAAAGTTTTCAAGGGTCTTTGTCCTTCTTTCCACATTTTAGCTCCACGTGCCTCTGGTTGTCTTTATTTTCTCAATTTCCTTTGCTACAGCCCACCTTCCTCTTTACTGAAAACATGGTTACCTGAGGATCTGAGCTTATAGCCACAGAAACTGAAATCCTTAAGACAGAGAAAACTTCATGGAAAAGGTTTGATTGACTCGGTCCATTTTTTGAGCAATTTACTGTGAACAAGAAGATCCAGTACCATGATTGATCAGGTAGTCTTGTGTCCACCCCTGTAGTCAGGGAGCAGGAGGGCATCATGTTTGACAGCACCTCAAAATCACAGGGACAGAAAATCATTCCCCAGTGAGCACACAAAAATGACAGACATCCACTTCATTTTCCTTATATTATTTTTACTTGATTCTTAGGACTAATAGGCTTTTCCATCCAGATTGTGCACAACAGGGACCTTTTGATTAGCGGGGGGAAAATAGAAATATACTGCAACGTGGGAAACCTAATTTTATTTTCATCCTTTCCTATTTTAAAGGGCTAGATTATCAGCTCAGAGGGAAAGAGCGCATTATTTGCAGGTACCAGATAATGTTTTTTTCTCCTTACTATCCTATGCATTATCTAATTATGTGGGGAATAACGGAAGCACTGGTGTTGTTTTATACTTAGAAAGATGTGAAATAAAGTGACAAAATAGATATCTGAAGTATTTGCAAATACATTTATTTCCCCTGGATACAAGGTCAATATAAGGTACACTCAAACAGTTTGACAATACAAGCAGGTTTTGAAGGTGAGTTATTCTTTTAAATTTTATTATAAATTTTTCCATCAATATACCAACTTCATCAGTTTGCTGTCATCCTTGCTATAAAGAAACAAAAAAGTAGATTAATAGCCAGAAATTCATATCAGTTAATCTTTTGTATTCAACTATTCCTGATTTCAATCTTTGAGGTATGTTTTCAGTTTTTGCAGTCATCAAAACAAGTGCCTACAAACATTTTCAGATGGAATAAATCAATATTTTGGTCTTCTTCTTCAAGAAAATTGCCAACTCTTAGGAATGGTCATTTTAAGGAAGGAGCTGCCCTCAGCCAATCCTAAGTCATTCTTTTCATTTGGTCTAACCACACTTAGTTTAATCTGTCTATCTTCTTCAAATATAATTATTTGAAGAATAATTCAATCCCTGCTCCAGCCTTTATTCATTATCCCAGCTTTCTCCAAAAATTACCTACTCTCCCACTTTGCCTCTAAAATATTGCTCCAGCATCTCTTCCTCCATGGTACAATTGTATGCTGGAGGCTCTCCAGAGCTGATTGTGCACATCTCTTCTCAATGCAGCCTCCAGTGATGTCATGTTGGCAGCTTGAAATCTGCCACTGTGGCATTATTTATGCCCTGCAGAAATTGGAAATTGCCAAATACTACAAATAAAGGCTTTTTCTCTGAGTGCTGGTTGTTAAACATTTATTAGTACAATATGGTCCATGGAGCTGACTTTTGTCTTCACTGGCCACTGTAACAGCAGCAACACAGTGCATAACGGCCTGAGTTTGGTGTCAGATAAACTGGAGTTTGAGTTCTGGCTTACCTATTTAGAATTTGTGTGACACTGAGAAAGTTATTTCACCTCTCCAAGTCAGTTTTCTCAAATAAAATAATACATGCAAAGTCACTGGGACAGGAAAGTGCTGATAAACCTTAGCTGTTTCTCAATATCCCCTAATCCTTCATGTCTAAGCCATAGGAAGTTTCGATTATCTATGTCTGTAGTTGCATGTTAATATCATTTATATTTGCTCTGTCTTTCACCATTAAAACCCCTCAAGTTTTAAAAAAGATCATCATTATATTTTGTTTAGTGTGTTTGGTAGGCAATGAATCCATAATAAATTCTGCTTTAGGGCATATTGGTAGAGTAGGCAGACAGTCAGGGATGTGTGCCCAGTGATGCTTGAAATGCATTTAACAGAGTATAAAGGCATCAATGACTAGTGAAGAGAACCAGAGTTTAAGAGTAAGGATGCCTAAATTTCAATCTCAGCACATGGCATATAAAAACTACACAAATTGCGAGATTAGATAACTATAATTTTAAATCCCTGTTCTGTCTCTATCTGTGTAGCCTTCATCAACTTTTTGACTTTAGCTTCCTCTTCTGTTGAGCGCAGTTAAGAGTAGCTTTGTACTTACCCTGAAAAGTCGTTATGTGGGTCAAATGTATTACAGAATGTTAAATGTGTGAATAGTAGTCTCTGAATAAAAGGTGGCTGTTATTCTTCCACTAGTTGATTGCGTGGTTTCATCTTCCTAAGCTTCATAGACTTTAACTATACCTATAAAAGGAAGAGGGCTGGTTTGGTGCTCTCTTAAGAGGCCTCCTTGTTCTGAATGAAATTCTTTGTACCTAAAGCCTTTTATTCCAGAAACAGAAGTCTTATTGCCAATATTCTTTGGAAAGCAAAAATCCCTTTTTTCCAGTTTCACTACTCCCAGCCCAGGCCCTCATCACCTCTCATATCTATATAGCAAGTTTAAAACCAGTGTCCCTGCCATCTGGCTCTTCTCTTTATTCTCCAGACTTCCCCTGCTCATCTTAACACAAACAGACAGACACAGACAAATTTGATTATGTCACTTCCTTTCTTTAAAATCTCTGCTGGAGTCATTTAATCTTCACAATGAAAGCTACACTTAATAGCAAGATCTATAGAGTCCTTGACATTCTTGCCCCTAGTTGTATATTTGCCCCTTTTTGGTTTCACAAACCATATCACAACACTCTGTCATGAACTCTACGCTTCACTCACTGTTTTCTAAACATACCATGGCAGCCTTTCTCAACCGTTTAATTACATATGTGGTTCCCTCAGCCTGAATGTACCTCCCACTCCCATCCCTTTGACTGGGTTACTCCCACTCATATTTCAAGACCCACCTCACATGTCAAATTGTCTGTTAAGCCTTTCCTGATTCCCCTAGGCAGTGTTAGTCACTGCTGCCACTGTATTTCTACAGCTTTAGCACTTACCTCTTTGATACATTTATCTGTTTACAAGTCTGACTCCTCCACTAAAACAGTGACTCCTTAGAAGGGATGTACCACAAGTCTGGAGTCAGACTGTCTGGTTTACAACCCCCTGCATCAACACATGTTAGATGTGTGCATTTGAGGAAGCTTCTTAGCTTCTTTAATCCTCAGTTTTCTCACCTACAAAATGGAGCTAATATGCTGCTGATCTCAGATAATCCTTATATTATTGAAATGACAAAACACATGTAAAGCTCCTACGTCAATGTCCGGCATATATTAAGGACTTAGTTAATATTACAAAAAATGGTGATGATAAAGATGGCTATAATGGAAGAGATAGTAAGGCAGTGGGAGGAGAGAAGGTGATGCAATAGAAACCTCATTTATGTTTTTAGCACCTTGGCCTCTTCTCAATGTCTAGCCCATAGTAAGTGCTCAATGCATGTTTGCTGAATGAATGCTTGTGTGATACAACTTTACAACACAGCCAAAATGTCAAATTCCAGCTCTTTTCTCATATCTGATTCAAGGAAGTTGAATTAACTTTTTGGATGCCAGAAACTCAAGTTCTAACAAAGAGGAGAAATTAGATGAGGAAAAAAGAAGAGGGGGGAGAGAAAATGGCAACAGCTGGGTTGGAGGTGCAGAATATAAGTATATAAGTCAAACTAACCTCCTTCACAGCTTTGCCTCAGCATTTTACATGGTTTTACTGCTGGGGACTGAAATAGGCTTTAAAGAAAAGAGTGAAGATGTGCGGATTCCAAATCTAGAGAGCAGCTCCACCATAGGGACCAACCCAGGGTCTAAAGACAGTCAAAGCCAAATTCCTTTGATGTTCTCTGAGAGCCTGCAGGCAAAATAGCAACTCAGCAAGGGTTTGGAATGCAAGTGGCATGGAATGAAAATGTGTGTTCCTGTTACAGGGCCAAGGAAGGGAAGGACAAACCTCACCTATTAAAGAAATCCCTGGACTGGAAAGGACTGGAACATTGGGAGTGGAAGTCCACATTAGCGGAATAGTATGTTCTGAAGGCATTTGAGCAGATGAAAACCTGATACACGAGACATAAAACCTGAGGAAAATTATTTCATGGGAACGGTAAAAATGGTGGAGAGGGTAAATTGGGCAAGGGAGAAGAACGGAGGAGAGGGAGAGGGAAGTGCTGCTGAACTTATTTCAAAGAAGAAGAAGAAAAAAAATGATCTCTTGTTTTTCATTAAATAATGGATGCTCTCCAGGCCAGCCAGAGTCGCGGCTGATTCTGTTTTGCGCTCAGTGGAGGAAAAATCAAACCAAACCAAAACATAAAACAAAACGGGAAAAGATGAGCGTTTCCTTTTCCTCCTCCCTTCCTCCAACCGAGTTCTTCCTTCAGCCCCAGGGCCCGCGAGGGGGAGGTCTTTTTCCTTTGCTGCCCGAGGTTTGCGTCCTTCCGGGGCCCAGCAGCCCGAGATGCGTTTGGTCCCGAAACCCGACAGGCGGGGAAGCGGGCTCAGTCTCTCCCTCCTGGTTTTCTCTCTCCTCTTCTCTCCGCTGCTCTTCTCAGTGGGCACTTGCTCTGTCGTGCGTCTCCGCACCCGGCGGTTCGGAGCAAGGGCCATTGATACTTCTGGGGGATTGGGAGGGTCCCAAATGGTACACCAATCCTTCCTCTACAAGGAACCGTGTCTTTATGAGCGGAGAGTGATTTCGATGGCCGAGGACCCTTGTCCTGCATCCCGCGGAGCTGACCCAGGACCGCTGGGTGGGCGGCGCTCTAGCTCTGGATGCGCTGTCTCGGAGCTTTCCCGGAGGAGGCTGAGGCGACACCGGCCCCCGGGTAAACTATGGCTCCTGCCTTGTGTAGAGGAGATCTTGGTGAGGTTGTGGTTCCCGCAGATCGTCCTGGGATTCTGTTCCTCCAAGTGAAAGGCCAAAGCCCTGCCTTGTTAATAAATCATAAGCCGCTGACTCATTTCAGGGAAGTGGACAGACTGACTTAGGTAGATGAGTGTCACAAATATGTTAAACAAAATTAGCAAATACAGGCCGGTCTCTTGCCATTATCACTGGCAAGATGAAGTCCAAGGTTTTCCCATATATTTTTCTGGGGATATTCCTGGTACCTTCCACCCCAATAAACGTATATTATAAATGGCACTGTATTCTTGATAGTGTTGTTTAGAAACGATGATTGCACTTAAATCAATAATATGAACCTACCAAAATTAAATACAACTGTTTCTAGTTAAAAAGAAATCCACAGCAATCAAGAATGCATAAGTTCGCAAATTCTGATAATAGAATTGCTCCTCTAGAAACTGTGGACAGGGTTGTGAAATGCATGACTACAGCTGAGTGGATTGCACAGCGAAAGGCCTGTTCAAGTCTGAGGGCTTCTGGGGGATTGTTTTGTATGTAGGTGAGAACGCTGATCTCTGCACAATTGATACATAGAAAGTTATTGAATTGATGTGGGAAACAAAATCATAAGAAATCCTTTGGCAATATCTGAAAGGTAGCATTTAATTCTCTGTCATTCAAGAAAAAGGAGCAGTTCAGCTTTCAAAATGTATCCACATTATACAGTCAGCCAAAAAAGTATAATCCCCATTCAAGCTATTAGAGTACAACATAGGGTGACAGTGGGATTTTTAGCTTGGTTAAAGCAAATAAAATACTGTAGAAGGAATGAAATCAAACTTGTTGAAACTTGGATTTGCAGAAATATAAGGCAGCTTGGAGAAGATGAATACAGGTGGAAAATGACCTTTTGATTATGTTCAGGAAGGCATTAGAATGTCAGGAGAAATGCTGGAAAGGAGATTTATTGCCGTAAGCACAGTTGACAAGTTCCATTTTGTCGAGTCTCTTGGATGGAGGAAGGAAACCAGCATTTCAGGAGGTGATTAAAAGAGCCCTGCAAAGTCTTCAGTAATCCAGGGAGACCCAAATACAGAAGAATTCTGTTGCCCCTAGTCTGTTTAGAGACTCGAAGAACCCTACTATTGGGTTTCCACCACAGATATGCTTATTCCTTGTCAGAATGTTTGTACTAGATACATTGTATGACTTATAAGATGGACTGGACCAACATATGTGTGTATCTTTCTTTCTTTCAATAGAAAATTTCTTCCCTCTCTTCTTCCTTCTTTCTTTTTGTCTGTATTTGTATTTTTACATATGTGTGTATATATATATATATATACACACACATCTGTGACTATATATGTATATATATATAAATATATGTGTGTGTATACACACACACACACATGCACACACACACACACACACACACACATATATATTCAGAGACCCAGAGAAGAAGAGGGGATCGAAAATATAAATTATTTTTTGTGATAAGATGAAGCTACATGTATATACTCTTTTACATTTTGAAGACTGCATTCATATTCAATGACTCATTAGAGACACACATCCACATTTTTGTGGCCAACAGGTCTAATATTAGAATTCCCATTTTAAAGATGAGGAAATGAGGATAAAATAAGAGAAGTGATGTGTCTAATGCCCTTTTCATTTTGCTACAAGACCTTTCACAATACTTGTGATTCATAAGCATGAACTAAATCCACATGAGCCTCAACACATCCCCCTTTCATGACCATTTTCCTTCTCTTCTTTTTAATTTGCATATTTGGTTAAAATCCTATACGATTTCAATAATTCTCCATATATACCAACTTTCTTTGCTTTATTTTTCTCATTAGCCCTTATGACTATTTAGCATACCTTAAATTTTACATGTTCATCTTTTTTGTGTGTTGCCTTTCTGCCACAGAAAATACACTCAAAAAATATAGGAAATTATTTTTAGGGGTAATTATTTTTAGGAGTAGGGGAATACTATTTTCTGCTGTGTCTCCAGTGTCTAGAAAAATGCTTCACAAATAGTAAACACTCCATAAATATTTGTTAAATCAAGCCGTTCATGAATGACTCCTTACAAATTGTCCATTTGGATCTAATTACCATCTTTCTGCGAATGCTTTCTGTAAGGAAAGAGTGGTATTAATTACTTGCAAGAAAAATAATGAAAGTAAGCTCATTGCAAGACTCTTGATACTTGATGGGGGAAATGAAATTCTTTCTTTGTTTTCCTTAGTTCTTTCTGACTATTAACAAAATGCAGTGTTTGGAACCTCATATGACATGGCCAAATGATGCCTCTGCTAAGGCAAGAAAAATTTTTATGAGTCTCATGTCTTTACTGCCTTCTACTCCTCATCACCTTGCTCTCACGTGTATATAAACTTCAGGCAATATCCCTTGTCTACGATCAGCCAGGAATGTATTTTCCCTGGACCAGTGCCTTGCACATACAATCTTTCCAGACTTTTCCCTTCCTTATTAAGTTTTACCTGTCCCTTTTCCCATTTCTTCCACTGTCTACTTTCGTTACTGTTTTAGCTTCCAAGATAATATATTTCAATTTTGTTGGAATCAAGTAGCCTCAGAATTGGATGGACACACAGTACGGCTTCTCTCCCAGTACAGCAAATCTTTTTTACAGGATTGACAAGTGAGAAGCAGTGTGGGTGAGAACTCTCTCTCTGAACACAAGATAGATGTGCTTTCTGCCTTTTACAAAGGCAATTATTTAACCTTTTAAACTTCAAACTCTTTATGTAGAGAATAATGACAAAGTAGTTCTCATCTTCTAGGGCTGCTGTGAGGGTTAAATGGGAAAATGCAGGCAGAGTGCATGGAATATTCCTTGTCAGTAGTAAGCACTAATACATATTAGCTAATACCAGTAACATCCTTGATAAATTATCTTTCAGATTCCATTTCAGTGCCATCAGTATTGGGGAAGGAGACCACTACTTTCCTGAGTTAATCAGTTCTTTTTAAGACAAATTCTCCAACTGCTATTAAGATTCTTTTTAATAGACTTAGTCTATTTCCTTATAACTTCTGTCCATTGGTTCTTGGTGTTTACTTAGAGAAATATAGACAAAATATGTGTCACCTCTTTGATAGGGCAATGTTTAAAATTTTTAAACACAATTATTATGGCCTATCAACGTCTACTCGATTGCATTCTAAGATTTCCCAGTCACATCAACTGTTGTATATGTATACACACACACACACACACACACACACACACACACACACAGTGGTTTCCCACCCTGACACCAACCTGACTGCTCCTCTTGTGATAAACTCCAGTTTGCCTATGTACCTCTTCAAGAGTAGCATTGAAATTTGATGCAAGAGCCTAATTGTTATCTAATTAGTACAAGCCACAGGGGAGATATTATCTCTCGAGTTCTGGACATTGTATTCTTAATGGAGGCTGAGATTTCATTAGATTTCTTAGCAACCTTGTCACGTTGTTGGGGGCATGTCTAGCTTGTTAACCAAAAGTTAGAACTCCATGTCTCTTTCATATGAATCACTGATGAACTAGCCTGTTCTGTACATGAGTAACTAAGAATGTGTCTAACACCAATGTCTAGCATTTATTCCCACTAAATCTCACTAAGGAAACTTCTGGAGATGATACCTTCAACCTGCTCTTCACAAACTTCATTTTTCCCTTCTCAATACTGATGAATGATGGTATTCACATAAACTACAAATGCTCATAGGCACACCCATGATTATTTGGAATTCCCATCTGCCAGTTGTAACTCCACCCTTTACTCTTCTGTGGAAAAAAGCATATCAGAACTTAAGTGAGTCAACTAATGAACTAAATTCAAAAGGTAATGGCCTAAAGCTTTTTGAAGAACTTAGGTGAAAATCTTTATTATATTGGGGAAGAAAATAATTTCTTATGCATTGTCAAAACAAGAAAGAAAGCACAAAAAATAAAAGAAGAATCTAACACATTTGACTTCATTAGGATAAAAACCTCACCAAGATATCATAAAGAGAATGAAAGATATTTGCAAAAAATGTAATGGACAGAAGACTAGCCCTTTCACCCAAATTATAAAGAACTCTTCTAAATTACTAAGGAAAAGACAATCAAATAGATAAATGGCCCAAAGACTTAAACATGTGCTTCATAGAAGAAGAAATCAAATCGAGCAAAAATCACATGAAAAAGATTAGCAGTCAGGGAAATGTAACTTAACACTCAATGAGATAGCATTTGACACTCACTAAAATTATAAAAATAAAAATGACTAATAATGCCAAATGTGAAGGAGTAGTTACAATAATGAGAACTCATAATCTGCTGATGGGTATGGTTTTATTTAACATAACAACAGTTCCAAGTGAATGGTCCAGTTTTAGAAGTGGCTTCTTCTACACAGTCATTCAAGGATCAATGATTCTTCTATCACATTACTTGGTCATTTTTTAGGTATTGTCTATTTTTGCATGGTCTATCAGCTGGATTGCAGGAATGTCTGTGTCCCAGAGTGTGGGAAGGGGAGAGAGAATACGGAAAGTATATATCAATTTTTTAAGGCCTAGACCAGAAAATGTCTTACCTCCTTTTCACGAGACTCCATTAGCAAGAACTGAGTCACATGGCCAAAAATGGCTTTGAGAAGGCTTGTAAATGTCTTCTTCAGCCCTTTATTTTTATGAAATAAGAGAGGAGCAGATAGTAATGAACAATTCTATTCCTAGAGATTTGTTTCCAAATGTGGACCAGGAGTTGTTTTTCAAGAACAATATTCTTAGAACATAGAAGCATTGTTTTTGTAACTAAAAAACCTGGAAATAATTCAATTACCTATCAACAATAGACTGAATAAATGAATTGGGGTATACAATAAAAACTATATATAGCCATGAAAATAAAATACTGTTATACATCAGTATAGATTAATGCTATAGCTATGCTAAAAAATTAGTCAAAAATATATACAGGATGATACCATTTGCATAAAATTAAAAAGGGCAAAATTTGAAAATATAATATTTAAGGATATCTATATGGATGATAAGCTGAAGACAAGTAAGATAATGAAACCACAGAAGTCAGGATAATGAGTCGAGTCACTGTCTTTTGAGAGGAAGGAAGGAGATGAGATTGGGAAAGGCACTCAGTACAGGCTTTGCCCTATTTCCTACCAAGAGGTGATCACATCAGAGTATTTCCTACATTTTAAAATGTACAGATATGTTTGCTATAATTTTCTGTGCATATGTTGAACAACAAAACTTTTTCTAACAAATTTAAAAAGTAAATAACTTTAAAAATCATATATTTTCAGTATATAAGTAGCTACTTGTGACATGTAATTGGCAACACAAGTGTCAAGACAACGTAATTGTTGCTTTTCCTAGAGGATGAATTTGCAGTGGAAATTTCAGCCATTCTGAGCCCTACTTTAGTGAAGATATTTAGGGGATGTTGAAGAATGGGTGCTTCTTCTATCACATGATGCAGGCTCCTTCTTTCTCTCTTCTGTCTTCTGGGTTAGTCAACTCATTCTGTGCCCACTTGCATGCAAATCATACAAGAGTGAACAAACTTCATTCAAGCATATAAGAACATTTCTGCTTTTAAAAAGTAGCAAGCTACAATGGACTGAATGTTTGTGTCCCTCAAATTTTACATGTTGGAATCCTAATTCCAAACACAATGGGATTGTATTTGGAAGTGAGACTTTTGGGAGGTAATTAGGTCATGAAATGGAGCCCTCATGAATGATGTTAGTGCGCATACAAAAAGGACCTCAGAGTGCTCTCTTGCCCTCCTTTGCTATGTGAGGAAATAGGGCAGTCCACAATAGGAAGAAGGCTCTCCCCAGGACTCACCACGCAATCACCCTGATGTTGAACTCCCAGTCTCTATAACTATAACAAACACACAATTTTTTTGTTAACTTTAAGCCACCCAGTCTGTGGTACTTTGTCATAGCAGCTCAAACTCTGACACAAACATATGTCAGTGTTCTCATCAATTCCTTCAATGCAGCAGAGTGATAAGAATATGGTTCTAGAATCAGGGTGCCTGGGTTAAGATCTTGGTTCTGCTCTGTCACCATAGACAACCTTCTTAATATATCTAAGCCTCCATTTCTTCATCTATAAAACAATAATTTAAATAGTACCAACTCTGCAGGGATATTGTAGGGAATAATATAATGTATAATGATTTTACACATGCCTATTTTATAGTAAGTGCTTTAAATGTTGTTAAAAAGTACAATAATAGAAATTATTTTCAGTTAGCAGTTGGTTAATACCAAGATATGTAGAAATGTCACATACTGCATGGCCAAATATAGTCTTTTAAATTTTGTGCAAAAACTAGTTCTAACATGTGGTAGCCTTGGTATGTAATGGGCACCCAATAAATCCTAGCTTCTGTTTACTTTAAGGTATTCAGAAACTTTGTCCTGTTTCTTTCAATATGTTATTACCTATGAGTCTAGTAATTAAAGCGAGAAGTTATAATTAGGACATAGGCTATCATATAAGATGAAGTCAATATCTCTATAGTGTTGTGAGTTTTTGTCTTAAAATTTTTGCTGTCTTGGAGTTCAGACTTTCAAGTGGTCAATGATGTAAAATAAAATTATGTAAAATTAAATGGGATAACTATTTGTAAGTTTTAGTACTGTAACAGCATGTTATAGGAACTTAGTACAGTTAACATTTTTCCTCATTTGGAGTTGCTTTAGATACTGCATAAAACGTTGTAAAATATATCCTTAATATATTTTTGTCTTTGGAGTTTGAGTCTGATTTTTGGAAATAGCTAAAAGCCACTCAGAGCCAAGTATGGTGAATAATGTGAGTGAACAAGTTGTGTAATACCATTTTTGGTAAAAAATGAGGTATTATAAAATTAATGAGACTTTTTCTTGTATGGTTTATAAACTGGCTCTGAAGGCAACTCTAAAAAAATGTTCCACACATGAGTTAGGCAGTGACAGTATCTTTGGAATAATTTTAAAGACTGCTTTTTATCTTGTCAGGCCATGTTGACATCAGCCATATGCAGTACAGCTATATTAGTTATTAAAGTATTGAAGTAATTCTCTCCTTATTATTAATAGCCTTTTTCTTGAATTCCCCTAAATATGGTTTCTCCAACTGCACAGCTGCTTCGGCCCCTAGACTAGGTTAACTCATGGTATGGCAAGGGGTCTCTAACCCTGTTTTAGTACTACAGCAGTCTTGATTCTGATTGGGATGTAGAGCTATTCAGTTTGCTAATTATTTTGAATGTCACTACTGTCTGTCATATTGTCTGACCAGAAATTTTATTGCCTTGGCATGGCTCATTTGGATGTTAAGCATGGGTAGCTTGAAAAACATCAACAACAGTATCTTTCTGGGATAACTAGAACAGAAAATTAGTAGTTCTTCTCTGAAATACCTGATCATGGTAGGAATTCTCTTCTTAATCTGGTGCTACATGCGGCAGATTAAGACTTCATATACCTCACATCAATAAACAAATGCTTTGTCACTGCAGGATAGACAGAAAATAAACCTGAATACTTCTGAAGTTATTTCCAACGACCTTATAATTGTTAAAGCATTCTAATTCCAGTGATAATTGCATGGGATTTCTAGGTATGCTAAAAAAAAAAGTAGAATAAATTCCTTGATGCTTATAAGGCAGATAGTACAGATCAATCAAATCTACAGATGTGGTTGGAAAAAAATCTTTAAAAATCCATTTAGGCATTTATGGTCCATTTACTTTCACAATTTTCAGTTGTTCCCCATTGTACTCACTTCATTGATATTTTTATTGGTCACAAAATGGTGATTGTTTTATTTTTGTCATAAAATCCCCACCTTATTGACAATTTTCAATTAGAGTTTCACTTAACATTAATTGAAATTGCTAGCTATTGACATCATGTGATCATACATTCACGTTGCTGCAGCAGTTTACCTACAATAATCCCAAAGAAGTCGTATAATGAAGTTAATGCTATATTATAAATGGCAAGTTCATGACTTTTTATTCATATGTTTCAGTGTTGGAGGTGGGACCTGATGGGAATTGTTTATATCACTCAGTTCACATGAGATCTGGTTATTTAAAAGTATGTGATACCTCATTCCTTCTCTCTTGCTCCTGTTCTTGCTATGTGATGTGTCTGCTCCCCCTTTGCCTTCCAGCATGATTGGAAGCTTCCTGAGGCCTCGCTAGAAGCAGATGCTGCGATGCTTCCTGTGTAGCCTGCAGAACTGTGAGTCAGTTAAACCCCTTTTCTTATAAATTGCCCAATCTGAGGTATTTCTTCATAGCAGTGCAAGAACAGCCTAATACAGTGAATGAGGGAAGTATCTGGGTATAGAAATGACATTCCTGAAGTAGTTTCATCAGTTAAAATTTTGGAACTCTTGGCTGCAGGGCCTGTGGTAGCCATGCCGAGAGTGGGGTTTAAAGCAGTCGAGGGCCCCGTCCCTCCCAGCTTAATTTTTAACTTGTGAGAACTAGATGGCAAACAATATGCACAGGTTTTGGGGCTCTTTTTAAAGATCTTTCTCATTTTAAGAAAAAGAGACACTTTAGAAGCTAAGGAATGAAACAGTGTGACAAAAATGCCAAAGTCCAGACTGATACTCTTTCCCACAATGCTGTGTTTGAAATAGCTGGTGTAGACTAATAAAACAAGGAGAAATAAATGGAAACAGAAAGATTATTTTATGTATATTTCCATACAGGCAATAAATAAATACTTTGCTTGGCTTAGAGTCTTTGTTACAAAGTCATAGAGCCTAGGCAATAATATGGTTCTCAACACAGCAGCATGTGGAAGTCCTGTGAAGCATTATATAACTTTGCTGGTTTCTTCTCTGGGGATATAAATTTCGTGTTTATTTTAACAGTTAATGGTTTCATTACTGAAAGAAGAATCAAAGTAGAATTATATTAGTTATTTATTGCTGTGTAACAAATTACCCCAATACTTAGTGTGCTTAAAACAAAAGTAAACATTTGCTATCTCTCTGTTTGGGGGCCGTAATTTGAGGGTGGCTCAGCTGCACTGTTCTGACCCAGGGTTTCTCATGAGACTGAGTCAACATGTTGGCCGGGACTACCCTCAGATGGAGGTTGGACCTCGAAGATTTGCTTCCAAGATGGCTCACTTATATGCCTGGCAAGTTGGTGGTGTTTGTTGGCAGAGGCCTCAGTTCTTCCCTGTGTTGGCCTCTTTTGTGCTGCTTGATTTTCCTTGTGACACGGCTGCTGGTTTTGTTCAGAGTGAGCAAACCCAGAGAGGAGAGATGGTAGAATCAATGATTTTTATAACTTTGCCTCAGAAGTCACATTCTGTTACTTCTTCAATATTCTATTGCCAAACACATCAGTCTTATCACTCATTGTGGGAGGGAACTATGTAAGGACATGAATACCAAGAAAAGATTACATCCCAGTGCGGTGGCTCATGCCTGTAATTCCAGCACTTCAGGACGCCAAGACAGGAGGATTGCTTACATCCAGGAGTTCCAGAATAGCCTGGGAAACATAGCAAGACCTTTCCTCTACAAATAACATGTGCCGGTAATCCCAACTACTAGGGAAGCTGAGGTGGGACTATGTATGCGTGTAGTCCCAGCTACCCAGGAGGTCTAGGCTGCAGTAAACTGTGAATCATGTCACTATACTCCAGCCTGGGCAACAGAGTGAGACTCCATCTCAAAAGAAGAAAGAAATATATATATAATTTTGAGAATCATCTTGGAGGCCAGCTACCACAAATATGAAAAACTTCAATGTAAATATCATGCACTCAAGGGATGAACAATGGTAATATTTTGTCTTCAGTTCTCCATCTTCCTTATAGATTTCATTAATATTGTATCTACCAACATGACCTCATTTAATTCCCACCACAAAGAACTGTAAGCAAGATTATTGATCTCATTTTCACATGAACAAATGGAGGCTTAGAGTGATAGGTAACTTATACATACTAGATTACACAACTAATAAATGATTGAATTAGGAGTCCAATTCACTGCCACTCATGGATTTCTATTTAACACAATGCAATAAAAGACAAATAAGTTGGCGGACTGCCACTGTTTAAGTAATAAAGTATAAATAGAAAATGAGGTGGAGTTAGAGGGTTTATGCTCATGTCTTAGATACTACTCAGATCTTGCTTGAATTTCTCTCAAAATTAACAACTCTAGCTGTTAACACCTGAGCTAGACTAGTTTCCAATGTCTAAGCAGTAGCTTTGTTTGCTACAAACTTGATTTTGCCCAATTCTTAGAGTCTTAGATACCAAGACACTCAATTTAAGTTAATGAACAATTGATAGATGCATCAAAATTCTAGGTAATTCACTTACATATGAAATATAACTATCAGGCCAATTAGGTATTTACTTTGATCTAACTAGCACATTCTGCCTCTGCAGGAAATTATTTAGTCAATTCTGTCAGTTGGTATAATCTAGATGATGCTACTGTGACAATCCCCAAATTTCCTGAAAAAGATTGATTTCTTGCTTATATATGTTTAACCTTTATCATCAGGGTAGCCTTCTCATTGTAGTATATCAGGGAAATATGCTGATGCCGACCCTATGTCACACGCTGTCTGTGACAGGTCCAGGATTTGTGGGGTCTTAAGGCTTATACTGTTTCAGATGCACTTTTTAAGATATATAACGGCAGGTCGCGGTGGCTCATGCCTGTAATCCCAGCACTGTGGGAGGCTGAGGCGGGCGGATCACGAGGTCAGGAGATCGAGACCATCCTGGCTAACACGGTGAAACCCTGTCTCTACTACAAAATACAAAAAATTAGCCGGGCGTGGTGGCGGGCGCCTGTAGTCCCTACTGAGGCAGGAGAATGGCATGAACCCGGGAGGCGGTGCTTGCAGTGAGTCGAGATCGCGCCACTGCCCTCCAGCCTGCGCGACAGAGCGAGACTCCGTCTCAAAAAAAAAAAAAAAAAAAAAAGATACATAACACAAAATTACAAGTTTTAATAGCTTCACAATAAATCATCCTCATGCTTCAACGATTGCCATGTCAAGGAAGAGGAATATGGTGAATCACATACTCACTGTTGTAGCTTCAATCTAGAGGTGACACAGTCCAAAGTCAAAGTGGATTGGGAAGCACAGTTCTACCATGTGTCCCCAAGGAAGAGAGCTGAGAATATTTGGTAAACAGCACTAACGATTACCACAGTAATCAAGAAGCAGAGGCTGGAGAAATACAAGATTTAAACGCATAGTAGCACCATCTTTTATACTTCGATGTGTCTACTCATACAAAATGTCATTAGCTACCGCCCCCCAACAGACTACAATCATAAGTTAGCTTTCTGATGTCTCCCTTCTAAGGATTGCACAAAGATGGGTATAGGCAATGCTTGTTTCAGGAATTTTAATTTCTGTTTTTTTTTCAGTGATCAATTATTTGTCAGATTAATGCAGTCTTTCATAAACATGATATTACCTTTATCAAGGTATATGCTGGTTTAAAAAAAAATCTTTTCATGTGGCTTTGCTTATAACCACTGTTTTTATATATTGCTTTTCTAGTCTGTTGCAAAATTGTCTTACTTTCAAATTCGTGGAAATGTACTACCTAAAATACCTTCTAGCATTATTATAATGATGCCCAGAACCCAGTTTAGTAAGTATGATTTCTCTGAGTAATGGTTGCTATTATGAGGGTCTGAAATAATCATTTTGAATTAGGTTTTAGTATAAAGAGAAAGATGTTTATTTAAAGTTGAGTTTTGGTTTTTGATTGGATATACTGGCACAGTAGAGTACAGAGAGAATATTCACAATTGACTACTGTTTGTGAAACACAAAATAATTATATTTTATAGTGCATTAATAATACCTATAACATTATTTGAAAGACAAATCTTTATTTTTACTTGCAATTAATTTGGAAGTATGTTAAAAATTAGATATGTGCTTTTGTACATGAACATATTCATGTCCATCTCTCAAAGCAATTCTAATAGACCATTTGTTTTTCTGTACTCAGCTCCTAACCATCTACCTTAACAAAAAAGGAGTTGTGGTTTGGATAATATTCAAAAGAATGACAATAGAAATCTTAAAATGTATTTAATTCCTAGTAATGTAATAAGAAATGATGATTTATATTAATGCTACTTACCTATGACATTTCATAGCATTTTATAAAAGACAATTTACTTTCTCTATTGTTTGAGTTATACTGAACTTTCAATTTCCACTACAGTAAAAGGGAGACTTGGCATAAATTACATTAAAAAAAATGGTAATGTTTAAAATGTATTGAGTGTGCTTCATGCTAGACACCATGCTACTTTATGTGTTTAATATCAGTGAAACTGCCTAATGACTCTATGAGGTAGATCTAATTTTCTCCATTTTATTGATGAAGAAGGTGAGACTTGAGAGGTTAAGGAATTTGGGATTGCACAGCTAATAAATGATATAGCAAGCCAACCTCATTCAGAACTTCAATATATTATTTCATTAATTACATTTCCCTTGTACTCTTCAAATCCTGAATAAATGCGTGGCCAGTAAGAGAGAGGTAATTAAGAGCCCTGAACAATGAGAAAATGGTTCTGTCTAGATAATGTGCAAATGGAGTTGATTTTATGTTTAAAGAAAGAAAGAAACACAGAACAAAAAACTAAATATATAAATAAAGAGTGCTCAAATATGGTTAATAGTAAACTAGTCAGAACTTAATTTTCATTGGAATTAAAATCCTATTTGAATTTGTTCCTAACTTTCTAAGCTATGATTATAGGAGCCAGCTAATATAACATGGGAGTAAATGTAGCATCTGTGCTTTTGAGATACTGCCTGTAATTACTGGTAGGGATAGGGATATTAGAAAAAAAAACCTGTAAGATTTATTGCTCTTTCTTTATGAATGGAGAAGTAAGTACAGATTACTTAGAGTTTGCTTAAAATATCAATGAATTAATATTATTGCAGATTTTTTTTCCTGTGTTCCTCATACTAATATAATGAAAAGTATTTAGAAGGAGGAGGGAAAGAAGAGGAGAAAGATAAATTCAAAACCACAAGATATATTTCATAAAAGTAATTTCTCTCCCAACCAACCCTAGCTTTTTATTTATTTAAGTGCCTGCTAGTTGGTTTCCATAATTTCAGATATTTTGTAGTAGAATATATGCAAACTGTACATTATTCAAATATTTATTTTACAGGAATGTGCTTAATGCTATTAGCAATTCATCTGCATGTATTCCCAGTGTGTTTGAGATTCAAGTATGAACACATATAAAAATAGTATCAGATGACTATTAATTAATTGTTTAAAGGACCATTTCCCCCTTCAGACAATAATTATTTGACAGATTGTATGGATTCCCAGTTTGCAGTTACAATGTCTTTTCCACTGTGCTCATGCAACCCATAGCTCATGTGTCATCTTCCTTCACTTCCTTCATAGTCTATAGTTGTGTCTGACTCTTAACTCTTGAAGCATGAATATTTGTAATATTCATTTGTGTCTCATTTGTTTTTTATTTAAATTTCCTAAACAGAGTGCCACCCTTCAGATCAGAGGAAGTTAATTGATATATTGAATGTATACTTTAAAAAAGTACTTCCTGTTGAGGCTTGCAGTTAATGTTTGTTGAATGAAGTAACAAAAACGTAGAAATCATTTAGCCAACATAAAGTCACTTCAGAACTTGTGTTGATGTTATGCACTTTAGGCCAGTAGAAAAGAATAGAAACATATATTAATTTATTAAGGATATTTTTAACTAGAAAAATTATAGGTTAAAAAAATAGTAAGAGTTCTTTGGCACTTTGCCTCTTACAAAGCAAACAAAAAGGTGTGTGGTAGAAATAACCAGAAAAATTATTATTGTAAGAAGACAGCACAGAATTGCAGCATTGGTAATTTTTGCTCAATGTTCCATAAAATACAAATGCAGATTCTTTTAATAAAAAAGTAAAAGTGGAAAAACACAAATGTCAAACAAATTATTTATGTCAAGCTTGAGAGTTGATAGCTATATGACTCCCTGCACATTATTAAATTAAGTCACTGGTTCGTTTTTGAAAATCCATTTTCTAGTTGGTTCAACAGATGTTTACTAGTCAGTTTTAAATGGAAATGCATATTAAAATAGTTCAAATTATTAACATGCAATACAATTTGTCCAAAGATGGAAAACACTGGATAGAATGGCAATCTCAGTATGTTTCACTGAAAACAGGATTTTAAAATAGTATAAGCCACTCTTATATATAAGACTGGGGAAGGAAGTTGGGATGGAAGACTTAATTTTTTGCCAGACACTTTATAAGTGTTTTTGCATATAGTTACTCATGGTGTCTTTCACTGGTTAAAGTTAGTCTCATGAGATGTTACCTCTCTCTGCACTTTTAGATTTTTCCCTGGCATCTACAGGGAAGGGTTGCACTTCATCTAATCCCTGAAGTAGTGAGAAAAACCATCATTTCCAGCTTGATATTTTGTTCATTATGAATTTTTGCATTAACATTGATGTTTGGATATATACTTTGGATTTTAAAAAATATTGCTTTAAAATATTCTTTTTACTAATTACTGAGTGTATTACAATCTGTTAAATTATGTACCTAAAGCAGCACCTCACTTGCCTCACTGAAATCTCAACCCGCCAATGCAAGCTTATATTCCCACGTGTCTGGTTACTCAACACAGCATGAATTGAAAGTGAACAATTTGCATATCATCTGGTTTAGGACCTCAAAGTCACCAGGCTCCAGAGAAAGTCAGAATCATTCATTTTTTAAATTTCTTCACTTATTCAAAAATAAATTCATTAATTCAACAAATACATATTAAGGTGCTGTGTGCCAGTAAATGCTTCAGTGGATGGCTGCAAAAATTATAAACTAAACATATCAAAATACATAATTTCTGTTGTGATGTCCTACAATAACTGTTTCCTGGAAATTTGTATTGGTATATAAATAAGCTGTTTGCCTTCAAATATATATATATATAATATATATATATGCATATAGTCACTCATGGTGCCTTTCACTGATATATATATATATATGTATGTGTATATATATATATGTATGTATATATATGTATGTATATATAGTATGTGTATATATATATATATAGAAAGAGAGAGAGCGTGATGCATCAGTTCCCTTTTAAAAATGACAAGTATGTCATATATGTATTATATGACATACTTGTCATTTTTAAAAGGGAACTGATGCATCATGCTCAATTACATACTTTCACATGAAAATTACCAACTTGTAGAAGAATATTGAGAACAGTCTATGTAGTTCCCTACTTTTAAACCATAGCTCAACCATCTTTCCATTAAAAACAGTAAAACAGTTTGGTTGACAGTAACCCCATATTAAAGTATAGACTCTATTGCGGAATCTTATGTACTACTCTTCTAAATTTTTCTTTATACACGCTAGGACTTCTATTAAAATTTATGTTTCTTTCAGTTTTTGTCTTAGTCCATTCCTGCTCCTATAACCAAATACCTTAGACTGGCTAATTTATAAAAAGTGTAGGTTTATTGCTCACAGCTATGGAGATGGGAAAGTTCAATATTAAGACACTGTCAGGTTCCATGTCTAGTGAGGGCCAAGTCACTGCTTCCAAGATAGTGCCCTGAACATTGTATCTTCATTTGATGGGAGCATTGAAAAGAGATGAACACTATGTGCAGCTTCTTTCACAATGGTCTTCATCTCATTCAGTAGGGTAAAGCCCTCATGACCTAACTACCTCCTAAAGGCCCCACCTCTTAATACTATTTCATTGGGCATTATATCTCAACATGTTAATTTTGGAGGGAGACACATTCAGACTACAGCAGTTTGGATATTTCTTTTATTCCTTACTTATTAAAAAAATGTACTTGTTACATGAGAGAGAAATTGAATTCTTTGTGAGCTTAGGTGTACCACACATACAGGGAATGTATATTTTTAATGCACTATTAATTATATTTCAAAGAGAAATAATGATACAGTCCAGAGAATGGTAATGGTTCCTTGAGTTTCCCTGTAGATCAACTTACCAGGTTGAAACACTGTATAAAACTAACTTCTAAGTGTACTAAGTACTAAGTATACTACTGTAATTCTTTCTAAGGAAAAAAATAATTTGAAACAGAAGTTGATTCATTACCGCAACGCGTAATTATTTAAAACTAAGCTCTAATTTTTTTCTGAGTTGATATTGAGGACACGATATACTAGATAATGAACAGATGCAGACTTGAATGAGTGACTGAGAACATATGTTAAAAAGAAACTCAGAAAGATAAACTAGATATTATTGGGAATTTTAAGTGGATTGGAAAAAAAACTTTAAAAAAATCACTGGATTTTTATCACAAAGTAGATAGAAACAAGATAACGTGATACAATAAAAAGAAATACCTGTAACAGCAAGCTGTTTCCCCTTATGCTCATTGACCCCTCTGAGTCATATGTTTTTGAAGACCAGTAAACAAACTTGCAAAATTGTGGTAGTTGATTATGTAGCAGAATCCAGAAATAAAGAAACATTTTTTTCTATATATTTTATTTTCAAGGCAATAAAATGAAAGTTGAGGCACTGGAAGGAATGATAGTAAAATAATCGATCTTAAATTGGCCTACCACTTTGGTCTTATGAAGCATAACTATATTAAGGCATTAAAATAAGAAACTAAGTATAAATCCCCCAAATGTGACAAAGTTAAAAAATAGATAAGGCAATAAAAGTAGCAGTAATGGTATTTGCTCTGTTATAGACAGAATGACTCAATGAAATTTAGGATAAGAATGTGCAAGAGATGTTGCTGATAATGTGAATCTTCTGGGTGTGTTTCATGTTTCCTAATTTTCTTTTGATGAGTTATTTTGTGTTATAAACTGCTATTTATGTAAGAAGACAATGCATGGATATTACCAACATATTTTCTCATGTGATTAAGATTCTTTGTACATTGTTGATAGTCAGCCCCGATTAATCAAAATGAATTAGTAGAGTTAAATCTACTCACATATCATCCCTGTTTCTACGTTCGTATTCACAAGAATTGGCACAAAACAAACCTTTAAATAATTTCCAATTCATTTGCTTTTTAAAATATAGGATTCTAGTCCAATTATTGGATAGGTAAAGCTTCATTATTTTTTTCTACAGAAATATATTCAGTTTTTACAGACTTAGACATTTATTAAAAATAGTACTACTTGCTGAAAATTTATGTTTCTATAGAATTTCTCATTTTCAATACATCTATGTCTAGTATAATATAAAACAAGAGCAATAAAACATATGCAATAAAACATGTCATATATATAATACAATGTAATAAATAATGAATATATTACTTTATTAGCAGGAAATTATATTAATTGCAAACATTAAGGGAAATACTCAGAATATATTTCATTGTGACTATTATATGTTTGTCATCATTTTTAGTGATTTAAAGTTTTTAGAAAATAATATTATTAATTGTAATGATTTCTATGATCTCCATTTTAAGAATAATTTAGGGAGAATATTTTTTCTTTTATTGCTATGATTTATTTCAAATGTCCTCATACTATAATTTACAGTAAAACACTTTAAAGATAGCATATTATACCATTAATGAAGTTGTGCCCTTGTTGTACACACAATTAGTACATACACACAATTCACCCGGAAGCTTAGTGATAACTTGTATATGAAATGCCATCCTTGCTTTTTAGCATCAGTCTAATAATTGCAGGGATACTTAAAAAACTTTTAGACAGCAGAAAAATTTCACAATTATTTTCATTTCAATTCCAATTACCATGGCCTCAAAAAACTCCTTTTAAAAGACCAATTTTTGAGAAACCATTAACACTAAATCATTAAGCAATTTATAGAAAAAGAAATTAATGGTTATCCTAAGGGAGTAATCTTAGAAGCAGCTTTGTACTTACTCAGGTGTAGGATCCTGACAAATACTATCTTGGACAGTATTTTGGAAACTTGTTGTAGTTTCTATACTTAAAAACTGGAATAAATCAAGCACTGAAGATAAGAGATCACTACATTCTGCTTGGACTGGGCTTGGAAGTGAAAGCCTGGATCATGCAGCTCACAGAAGCAATAGATATTGGATTTGGCATGACCGGTGAAGCTAAAGGACATACTACCTCTGAAAAGACAAATTAACTTAAGTATTACAGAAGAAAGAAGAAGTATATCAAATCACCGATTTCATGTGTGTAGTCTTGGTAGACCAGAAGATGACTTTTGAAATAAAGACTCTCAGAGATTGTTAAAATACCCACCCCTACTTTGTTAAAGATTTTTTTTTCAGACTATAGGACAGAATTTCCCCTTTTTCATGGTAAGAAGACTGACATGGTTCTCACAGTTCATTCAAATAAGAAGAAAAAGTCTCATCCTTTCTCTCACACACAGTATCCTTATCTGTCTCCCCAAAAAATTCATCTGGCCCAGTGAGTTCATAGTCTTAACGCTGGACCAGTCACTGTGTCAGGGTGAAGAAGTACTCTACTTGGTATCCCTGGGGCCAGGGAAACCAATGCTTAATTAATCCTGTACCACAGAAATAGAGAAAAGTTACCTCCCCAAAGGAGGGAATAAGGAAAAAAAATGGAAAATTAGAAGATGTATTTTCCAGAGATGAACAAAATCTCTGAAAGCAACTAAAATTTGAAAACTGAGCCATTGATGGAATAATTTTCTCCTTCATGAAGACAGTCGAATTTGTTTCAAATATTATTCCCTACCAAATTTTGCCATATTGAACAATGATACAGCTTTTTCATCCCTAAAAGAGAAAATGTAATCATCTGCCTCTACATTCCTAGAGGCTGCATCATTTAGTGGGGGTAAAATAGCTCAGAGAAAGATGTTTGGAAGGCAGTCATGGCTGATTAGTAACCTGTGGTTGCTAAACTAGAGTAAACCAACTTCAGTTAAGGTGTTCTCCACTTTCCACAGCCCTGTGAAAGCTGTGTTTGGTATCAGGAACTTGAGTACAGATTTTAAGGACTGATGCAGGAAAGAAAACAATAGAGTCTTTGAAAGAACAGTGGTATGTGAATTATCCATGCATAAGGAATAGTCTGAGTGTTGTGCCAAATTTAAATTCTAAGCTTTCATGGAAGATTTTCTAGAAAGCTCTATGAAGATCACTTCTCTCAGAAACATACTCCTTATTACCTGTTCCTATCTTAACTTTCTTAAATCTGACTTCAGTCTTTGCCAGTGTACTGAAACTGTGTTGTGGTTTCCTTCTTGCCAAATCACAAAACATTTCCTCTGTATTCATATGGAAACTGCTTCTTTAACTTCAATATCACTGATCTTTTCTTGCTCTATTTCTACAGCTTTGTTAGAACAAATCCAGTGGCCCTTTCACAGTCCCTTACCATTGATTCCTTGTTTTCTAGCCAGGGGTATTAACAAAGACCCAAGTTGTAGACATCTTTCTTCTTTTTGTCCATTTTTGAAAAAGCCCCTCCTTCCCTCACTCCCTTCTTTCCTCTGTACCTCCCTCCCTCCCTTCCTTTCCCCTTTTATTTCCCTTTGCCTTTCCCCTTCCTTTCCCTTCCCTCCTTTCTTTTTTATTTTTTCTTTCCTAGCTCCCTCTGTTCCAATCTCCCTGTGAACCTAAAGTTTGCTGTTAGCTTAGTTTTTAGTGGTAATCTTTCTTTAAACAAATGTCCTTGATGGATAACTGTAGCTCATACATGTTTAAGTAGTACTCCAAATTCATACTAACCCTACATTTTTATCCTATTGGCCAGTTCCACTTGATGTCTTATAGCATTGCATCAGAATAAGCTAGATTAAAACTAACATTATCAACATAATTGTCACTATGATACTCTTCATTTTTGTCATTGTCATCTGCCTACAATCAGATTCTCAGCTCTTGAAAATTCTTCTATTCTGTTTCAATATACATCCTATTTATTTATATTCATAGTTGACACTTAATAATTGTGCATGTTTATGGGGTACAATGTGATGTTTTGATACATGTATAAATTGTGTAATGATCAGTTCAGGACAATTAGCATAATCCATCACCTTAGACATCATTTCTTTGTGATAAGAGCATTAAAAAACCTCTCTTCTAGCTATTTTAAAACACACAATGCATCATTATTATCTCCAGTCATCCTCCTATGCAATAGACCACAAGAATTTATTCTTCCTAATTGCAGCTTTAAATCTGTTGATCAATCTCTCACCACCTACCCTCTCCATCCTCTACTCTACTACTACTCAACTTTCTGCTTTCATAAGAGCTATTTTTCAGATTGAATGAGATCATGCAGTATTTGTCTTTCTGTGTCTGCACTATTTCACTTAACATAATATCCTCAAGTTTCATCCATGTTGCAGCAAATTACAGGATTTCACTCTTTTTAATGGCTGAATAATATTCCCTTGTATAGATATACCACATTTTCTTTATCAATTTGTCTGTTGATGGACATTTGGGTTGATTCCATATTGTGGCTATTGTGAATAGTACGGAAATAAACATAGGAGAGCAGGTATTTCTTTGACATACTGGTTCATTTCCTTTTATTAAATATCCTGTAATGAATTAACTGGATCATGTGGTAGCTCTAATTTTAGTTTTCTGAGAAACTTTCATACTGTTTTCTATCATGGTTGTACTAATTTACATTCCCTGAAGCAGTGTAAAAGAGTTTCCTTTTTTTCCAAATCCTCAACAACATTTATCTTCTGATTTCTTTGATAGTAGCCATTCTCACTCAAGGGAGGTGATACCTCACTGTAATTTTGATTTGCATTTCTGTGATGATTAGAGATGCTGAACATTCTTGCACATATTTATTGGACATTTGCATGTCCTCTTTTGAGAAATGTATCTTCAGGTCTCTTACCTATTGAAAAAGCAGGTTACTTGTGCTTTTGTTGAGTTGTTTGAGCCCTTTATATACTTTGGATACTAGCCCCTTATCAGATTTATAATTTACACATATATTCTCCCATTACATAGGTTATCTCTTTGCTCTGTTGATTTTCTCCTTTGCTGTGCAGAAGCTTGTTGGCTTGATGTAATCCCATTTAACTATATTTGATTATATTGCCCATGTGTTTAAGGTTTTATCCAAAAAAATCCTTGCCTAAACCAAGCTCTTTCTCTATATTTTCTTCTGGTAGTTTCATAGTTTTGGGTCTTACATTTAAGTTTTTAATCCATCTTGAGTTAATTTTTGTATGTATTAAGGAATAAGGGTCTAGTTTTATTCTTCTGTATGTGGATATATAGTTTTCTCAGTACCATTTATTGAGAAGGGTGTCCTTTGTTCAGTGTATGTTCTTGGCACGTTTGTCAAAAACAAGTTGGCTGCAGATGCATGGGTTAATTTCTGGGGTTTATGTTCTGTTTCATTTGACTATGTATCTGTTTTGTTTTTGTTTTTGTTTTTATGCTACTACTGTCCTGTTTTTGTTGCTATGTCTTGTAGCATATTTTAAAACCATGTACAGACATCTTCAGAACATTCTTTCCAAAGCTCTAGAATACACACATTCTTCTCAATGGCCCATGGGACATTCTTCATGATAGATTACATGGTAGGTCACAAAACAAGTCTCAGAAAATTTTTTAAAATTAAAATCATATCAAGTGTTCTTCAACCACAATGCAATAAAACAAGAAATTATGACAAGAATTTAAGAAACCTTTCAAATACATTGAAATTAAACAACATTCTTCTGAAGAACTGATGGATCAGTGAATAAATTAAGGAGGAAAATTTTTAAATTCTTGAGATAAGTGATAACGAATACAACATATCAAAACCTGTAAGAGATAGCAAAGGCTGTTCTAAGAATGCAGTTTATAGCAATTAATTCCTACATGGAAAAAATGGAAAGATCTCAAATAATCTACTTAACAATACAACTCATAAACTAAAAAAAAAAAGAAAAACAAATCAAATGCAAAATAAGTAGAAGGAAAGAAATAATAAAGATTCGAACATAAATAAAATAGAAAACTAAAAAAATTATTAAAAAATTATAAAAGATCATTCCTTGAAAAGATTATACTGAGAAATCTTTAGTTAACCTATGGAAAAAAGATATAAGACTCAAATAAATAAAAGCAGAGACAAAAAGGATCATTACAACTAACACTACAGAAATACAAAGGATCATTTGAGACTGGTTTTTTTTTTTTTTTTTTTTTTGAGACAGTCTTGCTCTTTCAGCCAGGTTGGAGCACAGTTGCATGATCTCGGCTCACTGCAACCCCCGCTTTTCAGGCTCAAGCAATTCTCCTGCCTCAGCCTCCTGAGTAGCTGGGATTACAGGCATATGCCACCATGCCTGGCTAATTTTTGTGTTTTTGGTAGACATGGGGTTTCACCAGGTTGGCCAGGCTGGTCTCCAACTCCTGACTTCAGGTAATCCACCCACTTTGGCCTCCCAAAGTGCTGGGATTACAGGCATGAGCCACTGCACCAGCCCATTTGAGACTATTATGAATATGATATACCAACAAATTGGAAAACTTAGAAGAAATAGGTAAATTCATGGTGGACACATACAACTTACAAGATTGAGCCATAAAGAAATAGAAAATTTGAGCAGACCAATAATGAAGAAAAAAATTGAATAACAAATATTATAAAGTTGCAAGATACAAAATCAATGTACAAAAATCAGTAGCATTTCTATACACCAACAGAGAACTATCTGAAAAAGAAATCAAGAAAGCGTTCCTTTTGCCAGTAGCTACAAAGAGCACATAGGAATAAACTGAATTAAGGAAGTGAAAAATATTTACAATTAAAATTATAAAACATTGATGAAAGAAATTAAAACAGACACAAAAAATGAAAAGATATCCCATGTTCATGGATTAGAAGAATTTATATTGTTAAAATGTTCATACTACCCCCAAAAAATCTACAGCTTCAATGCAATCTCTATAATAGTAATGAAATTTTTTCATAGAAATAGAAAAACCAATCCTAAAATTCCTATGGAAGCACCAAGGACTCTGAATAGCGAAAGCAATCTTGAGCAAAAAGAACAAAACTGGTAGCATCAGTATAAGTTCTTTTGCAAAACAAGCAAGCAAGCAATCAAACAAGACCATTGGATTGATCCTTTGAAATGTATCTCAGATCTCACTGCTTTCAACTTTGTCTGACTCTTATCATCTTATGATAGTACCAACGGTTATGGTTTCCTAATCATTCTTCCTGTCATTAGTTTCTTCCTTTTTCCATCCACCTTATATATATTATAAAATCCTTCACATGAAAAATTTATGTAACGCCTAATATGTAAAACACTGAATTAATCATGTTATTCCCAATTATTACATATTCCAATAATTTCTCTTTGAATTCAAACTCTTCAATGGGGCATTTAAGATGGTGTGCCATCTGATTGAGATTTCTTTCTATAGTTTGGCCATGCATTTGCTTGAGTCAAATTCTCTTCTTGTTTTAAAGTTCAATAATAAAATTATATTTTAATTTTATTTTTAAAATTTTTTCTTTAATAATTCTAGCCATCATGTCTCCTGTTTCTCTTAATTCTGACAATTTGTGCTACACATTTAATATCTCTCTCCTATTCCATATATTATCTATTCTAAAATACTGATTTAACATTTACCATATGCTAAATAAATACATGAAAAACTCAAAATATTCCCATTAGTATCTCTGTTCTAAAATCTAAGAAACTAAAGCTTAGAATGTTTAAACAGTTGTCCCAAATCAATACGCAATACATCTAAGATTCAAGTTTTGACTTTAAAAGTATGATTTTCTAGTATATTATACTGAGGTGTTTCACCTTGTATTATTACAAGGTTTTTTTTTTTGAGATGTAGTCTTACACTGTCACCTGGGCTGGAGTGCAATGGCATGATCTCGGCTCACTGAAACCTCCGCCTCCTGATTTCACGCGATTCTCCTGCCTCAGTCTCCTGGGTAGCTGGGATTACAGGTGCACACCACCACACCCGGCTAACTTTTTGTATTTTTAGTAGAGACGGGGTTTCACCATGTTAGCCAGGCTGGTCTCGATCTCCTGACCTCGTGATCCACCCGCCTCGGCCTCCCAAAGTGCTGGAATTACAGACGTGAGCCACTGGGCTCGGCCAATTTTTTTTTTCCTTTTTTTTTTTTTTTTTAGATGGAGTCTCACTCTGCTGCCCAGGCTGGAGTGCAGTGGCACTATCTCAGCTCACTGCAAACTCCGCCTCCTAGGTTCAAGTGATTCTTGTGCCTCAGCCTCCTGAGTAGCTGGGATTTACAGGCATGTGCTACCATGCCTGGCTAATTTTTGTATTTTCAGTAGTGATGGGGTTTCACCATGTTGGCCAGGCTGGTTTTGAATTCCTAACCTCAAGTGATTCACCTGCCTTGGCCTCCCAAAGTGCTGTGATTACAGGCATCAGCCACCACGCCCAGCTACATCAGCATTTAATATAATCTTTGATGAGGAGAGTGTAAGAAAAACATCAATGCAATGAATGAGTGGATGAATATTTTAAGACTTTAAGTCTAGTGCTCCCAATAATTTAAGTTGCTTGGGAGCAACTAAACATAAAATCTTAAGTTTAAGTTTAAGATTTCAAGTTTAGTTGCTCCCAAGCAACTTAAAATATTTGTTCTTGTCTTATACTAATGTATATATCTTTAATGGCATTACAATTGTAAGCATTATAATTGCTAGTGCTTATTGAAACTTTACTAGTGGTTGTATGTTACATGTGTTTTCTTATTTAATCATCAAAATCCTCATTAAATTATTTTTTTCAATTTGCACTTAAAGAAACAGAAGTTCGAAGAAGTATAAAAAGTTGCCAATGGGTACATAGTAAGTGCCATAGCCAAAGATTATATGTGGCTACACTCACTTCTTATTCTTGTCCACTTCACTGTGCAGCTTTGCAATAAATACTCAATGATTAAATACATGTGCCCTCCTGAGCTCTCCTGGGGATTTCAAAGAACTGAATGCCAAAAGTTATCTGAAAACAAGCCTGAACACATCGTTTACCATGTAAACTGAGGTGGCTGACTCTATTACAGTGATTCATTTTGCTTCTGGTGGTGTTGCACATGTGGTGCCCAAAGGTCTCATTTTCCAAGTCAGTTTGTCTGAGTGACCATTTGGACCTTTCTTGCTTTCCCTCTGGGAATGGCTGAAGCCATTATTCTCCGCTGTGCTTTGACTACAGGGTGAGCCAGAAATCACAGGAAAATGTGTGCATCCTAAATCAGTGTGCATATTTTGGGAAAATAGGATAAATGTGTAAAATTACTGCCTATTTAAGTATTTGTGTATTTCTACAACATTTGTTACAGTCAAATTGTAAACATGAGCTGCAATTGTGAAATTTGTGTCTTAAGTTATTACAAGTATACCTTGGAGATATTGCAGATTTTGTTCCAGACCACTGCAATACAGCAAATATTGCAATAAAGTGAAGTGAGTCACACAATTTTTTTTTTGTTTCCCAGTGCATATAAAGTTATGGTTATACTGTACTGTAGTCTATTAAGGGTGCAATAGCATGTCTGAAAACAATGTACAGACCCTAATTTAAAAGTACTTTATTGCTGAAAAATGCTAACAGTCATCTGAGCCTTCAGCTAGTGTCATTTTTTTTGCTGGTGAAGGGTCTTGCCTAGATGTTAGTGATTCCTGACAGATCAGGGAAGTGGTTGCTTTGCTGAAGGTTGGGATGGGTGTGGCAATTTCTTAAAATAGGACACCAGTGAAGTTTGCCACATTGACTGACTCTTTCATGAAAGATTATCCTTAGAATATGATGGTGTTGGTAGCCTTTTACTCACAATAGAAATTTTTTTCAAAATTGGAGTGAAACCTCACAAACTCTGCTGCTGCTTTGTCAACTAAGTTCATGTAATATTCTAAAGGCTTTGTTATAATTTCAACAATGTTCACAGGATCTTCATCAGGAATAGATTCCATCTCTAGAAACCACTTTTTTGGCTCATCTGTAAAAAGCAACTCCTCTTCTGTTCACATTTTATCATGAGATTGCAGCAATTCAGTCACATCTTCAGGCTCCACTTCTAATTCTAGCTCATGCTATTTCTACCACATCTGCAGGTCCTTCTTCCACTGCAGTCTTGAACCAGTCAGGTCTTCCATAAAGGCTGGAATGAACTTCTTCCAAACTCCTGTTAATGTTGATGTTTTGATTTACTCCCATGAATCACCAATGTTCTTAATAGTGTCTAAAATAGTGAATTATCTCTAGAAGGTTTTCAATTTACTTTGCCAAAATCCATTAGAGGAATCACTATCCATGGCATTTATATGAACTATACTTCTTAAATAATAAAACTTGAAAGTTGAAATTACTTCTTGGTCCATGGGCTGCAGAATGTATGTGGTGTCGGCAGGCATGAAAACAACATTCATCTCCTTATATATCTGCATCAGAGTTCTTGCATTACTAGGTGCATTGTCAATGGGGAGTAATATTTTGAAAGAAAATTTTGTTTTCCAAGCAGCAGGTCTCAACAATGGGCTTAAAATATTCTGTATACCATGCTGTAAAAAGTTTTGTTGTAATCCAGGTCTTAATTTATAGAGTACAGGCAGGGTGGATTTAGCATAATTCTTAAGGCCCCTAGGATTTTCAGAATGATAAATGAAAACTGACTTCACCTTAAGATAACTGGTTGCATTAGCCCCTGGCAAGAGAGTCAGCTTGTCCTTTGAATCTTTGAAGCTGGGCATTGACTTCTCCTCTTTAGCCCTGAAAGTCCTAGATGGCATCTTGTTCCAATAGAAGACTGTTTCATCTACACTTAAAATCTATTGTTTAGTGTAGTCACCTTTATCAATTATTTTAACTAGATCTGGATAACTTGCTGCAGCTTCTATATTAGCACTTGCTGCTTCGCCTTGCACTTTTGTGTTCTGGAGACAGTCTCTTTCCTTTAATCTCATGAACTAACCTCTGTTAGCTTCAAACTTCTTCTGCAGATTCCTCACCTCTTTTAGCCTTCACAGAATTAAGGAGAATTAGGGCCTTGCTCTGAATTAGGGTTTGGCTTATGGAAATAATGTGGCTGATTTGATCTTCTATCCAAACCACTAAGATGTTCTTCATATCAGTAATAAGGCTGTTTGGCTTTCTTATCATTTGTGTGTACATTGAAGCAGCACTTTTAATGTTCTTCAAGAACTTTTTCTTTGCATTCATAACTTGGCTGTTTGTTGCAGGAGGCCTGGCTTTCTGCCCATCTTAGCTTTTGTCATGCCTTCCTCACCAAACTTAATAATTTCTAGATTTTGGTTTAATGGTTTAATGTGAGAGATGTGCAAGACCTTCTTTTTGTAATCCCAGCTACTCGGAGGCTGAGGCAGGAGAATTGCTTAAAGCCGTGAGGTGGAGGTTGCAGTGAGCCGAGATCGTGCCACTGCACTCCAGCCTGGGCAACACAGCGGGACTCCATCTCCAAAAAAAAAAAAGCCATACCTTTTAGTTGGCTTTTGTTTTAAAGTTTAAGCCATAGGTTGGAGTGTTGATAGGAAATGTAAAATATTATAAAATACTTGATGTATATGGAACCAGTAAAATTAAAAAAAAATATATGGAGCTTCACATAAGTAATTTAGAGTATCACAAAGCCTTTGTTTTCAACTTGCTATTCTATTAACGAGTCAGAGAAATTGTAAGTAGCGAGGCCAAGCTGTTGACCAAAAGTAAGGATTTTCTAAAAACCAAAAATAAAAAAAATCACTCAAGACAATAATTATTAAGTGGAAGATAATGATATTATTCTTAGCAAAATAACTCATGGAAACTTTTGGCACACTGAATGTAACCAGGTAATTTGTTCTGTTTTCAAGACCTGTTTTCCTGCTCCTATCACAATGAGAATTATTTTTCTTTTTTACTATCACTTAATATTGATAGTTAATATAAAAAAATCACAATCATCATATCATCCCATTTATATTTCTATTTCTAGGTTAGTGAGTAATGAAAGTAAATAATATTGTGCTCAGTTAAATGTTAAAATTAAAAAGATGTATAAAACATGCAAAATAGTAGTATATCCAATATTTATGAGCAAAACTGTTTGGCTGGTGTACATGACATTAGCATTTTTCAGTGATCACAGAATCTCAAGCCAAAAAAACAAACAAAAACTGTTTAATGCAAATCAAAATATTTCATTCGGTCAAATCTAATAAACCGAATATTGGCAGGCAGGGTGGAGACCTTGTGGAGGATACCAGAGGGTGGGCTACATTGAGATATGCACACACAACTGTAGCAAATTTATTTGAAATATTCTGGCTTAGTATCACTTTATTTCAGTTCTAACTCTGCAGTTAATGTTCTAAGCTTTTAGTGCACACGTCTACATGATAAAAAGTATGCCAGAGCTTGTTTTTAGATAACTGATGCCAGCAAAAGCTGTGCTAAAGAGACACACAGTGAAAACCTATGTAAGAACAGATTTGAAAACAGAGAAAATATTTTGATATTATGTTGTGGACTATTTCAACACATTTGTTGTTCAGGGAGCTTTTGTGGCATAAAGATGACATAATTTATTAAGATTTATTGTATTTCAGAAACATACAAAATGCTTCAAGTTTCTATTTCTTATCGCTGTGGTGAAATGAAATGAAATATAAGTGATGTGTCTACCCAATTTGGGCACCAGGGTATAGATACGCTGGTTGAATCCAACACAACCGAATACTTCTCCTTAGCAAGAGCTGGAGTTTTTTTTTTTTTTTCTTTTCTTTTCTTTTTTTTTTTTTTTTTGAGATGGAGTTTCACTCTTGTCCCCCAGGCTGGAGTGCAATGGCTCGATCTCATCTCACTGCAACCTCTGCCTCCCGGGTTCACGTGATTCTCCTGCCTTAGCCTCCCGAGTAGCTGGGATTACAGGAGCACAACACTGCACCTGGCTAATTTTTTGGATTTTTAGCAGAGATGGGGTTTCACCACGTTGGCCAGACTGGTCTTGAACTCCTGAGCTTGTGGTCTGCCCGCCTCGGCCTCCCAGAGTGCTGGGATTACAGGCGTGAGCCAGGGCACCTGGCCTCCTCTGAAGTTCTTTTTTTAATCTCAGGATTGTACAATGACAACAAAGGATTAGTCAATAAATCCACTGTGATATGATTTGGATCTGTGTCTTCACCCAAATCTCATGTTGAATTGTAATCCACAATATTGGAGGTGGGGCCTGGTGGGAGGTGATTGGATCATGGGGACAGATTTACCTGTTAGTGCTGTTCTTGTGATAGTGAGTTCTTATGAGATCTGGCTGTTTAAAAGTGTGTGGCACCTCCATCTCATTCTCTTCGTCCTGCTCTGGGCACGTAAGATGTGCCTGCTTCCCTTTTGCCTTCTGCCATGATTGAAAGTTTCCTGAACTCCCCACCAGAAGATGTCATGCTTCCTATACAGCTGGCAGAAACATGCGCCAATTAAACCTCTTCGTCTTTATAAATTACTCAGTCTTAGGTATTTTTTTTATAGCAGTGTGAAAACTGACTAATATATACTATAATCAATTTTATAAAACAGCAGTTAATACAGGCATAAATATATGAATCAAATGGTCAATATAGATTTGTAAAAAATAAAGGATATCTGAATATATCTGAATATTAGTGCCAATATTTAATGATGAAGTAAGTTCCTAATGTGTTCCAGGACCTTTATAAAGGTCATATGACTTTTTATAAATAGAGAAACTGAGGTTTAAGGGGGGGGAAATAAATTTGCCAAAGCTCACATCACTGGTTTACTAGAGTCAGATTTTGAACCCACATCTCTTTGTAGCAAACCTCATCCTCAATTCACTATACCACACTGCTTTCTGCACAGAATCACTTCCCAGTCACTTAGTGACTCTGCTAGTGTTTCTGTCCAGCTTTGGAACCTCTTATATGTTCTTTGGTCATCTTCTTTTTGTTTCTTTAATCAATGTTATTACTGCTATCTCACGTTATCCATAGTGGTTTGATCCAGGTTGATATGTTCACTGTAATGAACTTATTTTTTCTATTTAAAATTGCTTAGAATCCAGTCCTTAAAATGTTAGAATTTTGGCTTCAATTGTAGAGACCGTGGTGCTATTGCTGTTGCTCTTTCTTTTTCTTGTGTTTTTACTCAAATCACAGCATACATGAGGCCATATATTTTCTGTATCTCTGAGTGTTTTCTCCTGTACTGAGCTACTGCTGCCCTGGAAGAGTTTGATAGTAAGAAGACTGTAGATCATCTTTTTTTGTTGTTGTTCTCTCTCTGTCTCTCCCTTCTCCCCACCTTACACTTCCTCTGTTGTATTGCCCTCCCTTTATTATATAGGGAATTAGAAATCTAGCTGCCTAGGGACTCTCATACTTCTCATCTGAAAGACCCACTATGACTCATCAAGGGTATTTTTTTCAAAAAGAAAGGTGTTTGCCCTCATGTTTTCACTTAAGCAGATGTTTTTTTCTTTCTGCTGTGTTGTAAAGGGGAGTTTGTCAGCTGAGTTGCCAATCTCTTTTGCCTTCATGCTGAAGCAGCCACAAAGCCTTGCCCTTGTAAGAATGAGGGCTCCCAAAGGCTTCTGCAATTGTTTGGTTAGTTTCTGTGAAGGATACTGATTAGAAATAAAAGATCCCGAAGCTCTTTAAATTAACTAAAGCTAATTTAAAATATTTTAAATGAAATATCTTCAAGAAATACGTTAAGTGATTCCACCTCTTTTATGTCCCCAGAATTATTACAGGGTTAAGCAGAGAATTTGTCCCTCGGTGATTCATACAGATACACCAAAGGAGGGACATGGCTTAAAGGGTTAGTGATAGTGAAAGAATGGAGGATCACTGCTCATTATACTGATTTCATTTATGTATTCTTTCAGAGATTTTCCACAATGTATTTTCATTTTGAGGGTTTTTTAAGCTACAAGATAAATTATAATAGAGTTCATGTCATTATTTTGACTTTCTCATGAGGATGGGAGTGGGGATTAGGGCTGGGGATAGTCACCTCTTTTGAGCACATGGTTGCAAGGAAGAAGGTGGGAACCCAGATGAAATTGGAGCACTGAGATGAGGAAGGTGGCATTGTTGAGTAGAGTTGGGAGTCAAGGGATAAATTATTAATATATGCTGAAAATTGTATCTCTCCTACACATGGTCTAAGGAATAAATCTAAAGGATTATCTCCAACTAAAAGCCCAACATTATTTCTTAATAATAATCATCCTTTTTTAGTTGTTTGGCCCAATTCCAGAATTGGGTATTATCATCAGAGTTGAAAATAATCACAGTCCTTATACTCTTAATCTTGTCCTTCATACTGCCGTCAATGAATCTGACCAATGGACAGAAGGTTAAAATAGAGAAAGAGTTGCTTTAGTTTTGCAGGTAACGTTCTGAGACCAAAGAATTATGACAAATCCTCTCAACTATCTTTTAGAAAGAACTGTTGATAGGAAGGCTTAAATAAATTTTAACTACTCTGCCCTTAAACCACATCTTTCAACCCTGTTTCTTGAACAAGACCTCCAGGAAGTTGAAAAAACAGAAATAAAATAAAATATAATTAAAATAATTGGCAAAGACAGACAACAACTCAAATGGAAATCAGATGAAGTCACACATAAATGTATTAGTTTTAAATTCTTTTATGAAATAACTCATTTATTTAAAAAATGAATTAAATCAATAGGAGGCCTGGGCTAAGCAGTCAGGCCCAATCTAATAATGAAGATAGGGCAGGGAATACTGTTTCTCATGGAATTACTTCTGTAATGTGAATGATTGATTGAAATCATCTAATGATGACTAAGCATATCATTTCTCTAGGTTTTACAGTTTTATGATGTACTCATTTACATTTTCTAACTTCCAGGATTTTCTTTAAGATAGATCCAGTAACTTCATCGATTTTAAAATTTAAAGCTGAAAAGGGGCTTAGAAAAGTTTTTTTTTCAAAAGAATATCTCAATCTCAACACTGAGTGGTTGGACCATATCTATGTTATTGTAACGAAAAATTCAGACATACTTTCCTTAGGATAGACTCAAAGTTTAGTGTATTTTATATTAATGAGAAATATTTTACCTACCCGGAATTAGAAAGCCATTTTCCTGATTATTTTCTCAAAGTGCAGTACTAGCAACTTTCTCAATGAATTTTGACTGATTTTTGACCTATTATCTTCCACAATGCCCATGTACATATAATTCACTATTAACTCTTAATACACTATGAATAGATAAATACAGAAATTGTTTATAATACAAAAAGTGTATAAAAGTATAATTTAAGTTCAAATGAATGGTATTTTAATCTTATAATCCTTAAGTTAACCTATTCTAATGAACTTCTATTTCAAATTTTTCTCTTACACATTTATCAGAGAAAAATAAAATAAAACCCCAAAACCTTTGTAGTAATGGTAATGGTTGTAGTCTCAACTGAATATTTCTTTCAGATCTTGATTGAATATTGTCTGAGCAGGCTTATCATAGGTAACAGTTAATTTCTTCAACTACACGGGCCGGAAAACCTGAGCCAGTCTCACCCAAACTCAGTCGTAGTTCCTAGGACTTTTGCTTGTCCATAAGGGGAATTTAGATAAATCCATGTCTGTTCCTATAAAGAAAAAAAAATGAGATTCAATTCTATATCTGCCTGGGACTCACCTACATATAGTTTACAATGTTTCTCTTGCTGAGAATATGACAGGCTTCTACACTTTTAAAACAGATTTGCCAGCTGCCTCAATGCTTGGCATCTAAAGCATTAGGATTTCTTTCTAATAAACAAAACATAATATTGCTTCTTCAGGCTGTGTCAGGAAGTCTAATCAAGAGTTGACTGTAAGCCAACACTTGCCATCAGCTCCGTTGAGATATAATAATGGAGGCTAAAAATATATTAACTATTCATTTCTCTAATTTCTCTTAGTCGAGTCTCCATATCAAGTCAGGTCAGCTCGAATAACACATCTGAGTGATATTAGCTTAGTTTCTTTCAGAAATACTTTCACGGATATATGATTTAATGTTGGGCTGCAAGCTTTTATAGAGAGTCAATATAAGACATGTCCACCTCAAAAATGTTTCTTTTTTTTACTTGACAATGGTAGTGAAGACATAGTCCATTATGTGACTTAGAATCTCTTATATAAGATTCCATGTGATAAACAATTTTTAAATTTCAGCTTGAGGGAAAATTTTTGTTTTGTTAGGCAAACTTGTATGACTTTATCGGCAACTGAAAGCCACATAAGACATCAGGTCTCATAATCATAGTACATAAGCAAAAAAAAAAAAAAAAAAAAAACCAAGACACAATAAACAAACAGAACTTCACAAAATTATTCAAAATAAAGCTTTTTCTATTGTAACTTAACAAGAAGTCTCCCAGAATAACTTCTCAAAGCTGTAAAACATTGATTTTGAACAAAACTCCTTTTCCTACCCCACCATTTAGGGTAATGAGACTGATAAAAACAAAATGGCAAGTGAGGCCTCACAGAATGATGTTCATTAATCTCCCTTTACATAAAGTTCATGGGAAGCAGTGGAGCTTTTCTGTTGAGTGTTAAGACTCTGGAGAATGACTTTCTGGGTTTAATTAAACCCCAGATCACTCTCCTTATTAGTTGGTGCCTTGTGCTAATTTACTTAATCTGTCAGTTTTAGCTTCCCATCTGTAAAGTGGAAATAACAAAATGCCTGCTTCCTGGGATTTGTGGTGAAGATTTCCTGAGGTAATTCTTAAAAAATACTTAGGATGATACCTAGCATGTTATGTTCAAGAATTAGTAACTATGGATATTTATATGTGAATATTATAGGTGATGATGATGATGCTAAGTATGATGACGACGATGATGACATCAGTGAAGGTAAACCTAGATGAGGACAACTCTCTTTCTTTACAATCTTTTAAATTCATATCATACGGCTGCATCTTTAGCTTCCTGCTGAAGAAACACCTGCCCTCAGAGTCTGAAAAGCCCCAGGTAGGAAGAATAAAGACTTCCTCAGGAATAGTTCTGCATTATAATTTCAGGAAGAAGTGTAAAAAGTAATAGAAGTTTTCATTCTCTAATTGTAAGAATAAGACAGACTGATTGGCTTTCCTCTTTCAGCCGCTTGCTACCTCTGCAAAGACAAATATGTCTGGGTTAATTTTGGATAAAAGAAAGGGCCAAGCTCTATTTTGCTTTTTGAGGATAAAGATGAAAGGGGCTGTTTGAAGTTTATGCTTGGTCTACCTTGCATCCTAAGAATAGATGGGCACACAGGGATTCATGCAGAATCTCCAGTCACAGTAACAGAGTGTCCATTTCCTGCAGCATTGGTTCTCAGACTTTTTGGTTTCATGACCCTTTTACTTAAAAATTATTGAAGATGACAGTTAGTTTTGTTGATGTGGGATCTAGTCATTGATATTCATTGTATTAAAATTAATTTTGAAAAATGAAAAATTTTTTAGCTTATTTAAAAGTAGCAATAATTTTAGCCCACCATGTCTTAATATTGTGAACATTATGTATTAATGTAAAAATAATTATTTTTATGAAATAACTATTTTGGAAAGCAAAAACACAATGAGCAGAGTAGAATTATTTTCTATTTTTTAAAATTTCCTTATTAATAGAAGACAACTGAATTCAAATATCTGCTTCTGCATTCAGTCTGTTGTGATGTGTTGTTCTGATTGAAGTAAGCAAAATAATTCCAATGTTACAAAGACAAGTACATAGTTGAATAAAGAAGGTGTATTTTAATAGCTTCTTACAGCAATTTTGGATATTCTTTTTCACACTACATCAAAGCTCTACAAGTAACAGTTAGTTGCAATGAGAAAACTGAAATAATATTAATGAACATTTTTACCCTGTCACATCAGAATCATTTGGCTGTCTTTGCATATTCTGCTATGCCTTATTTTGTAACATCATCCATTCCTCAATTGGAAGATGTTGGTCCACTGAATTATGCAGATATTCCAAATGCTGAAACATTTTAGTATACATTTTTAAATAGTTTAAAATGTTATCTAACCTCATTAGAAAAATTTGTACTGAGGAGCTGTCAAGATTATAGTTACAGATATAAGTTTTCCATTATTCTGGCTTTGCTTAAAATCTCAAATTTTATACTTGCCAGTAAGTACTGTCCGTTGTTTCCTTGAAGTGTCAGGCGGACTGTGTTCATTTTTGAGACAATGTCTACCAACTGCCCAAGTCTGAATTACCACAGTTTGTATGTTCATGGTTCCTTCAAGTAAACTTAGTCCTCCATGAAAAAAGCAGCTAGTTCAGCTTGCAACTCAGATAATTGCACAAGAGCTCTTCCTGGAGACAACCCTCGTATGTGTTATAGCAAAAGTAATTTAGATTAACAGTCATGTACTCAAGAGTTGGGATAAAAGAAAATCAATCTTTACTGAATTATTAAGGAAACTGAATTATTAAGTGAAACTGACATACTTACTGCAAGTGTATAGCAGGGAGAAATGTAATGACTCCTAATTCCATTTGGTGCTTCTGCTTTTTTTGTGTGTGTGCTTAGGTATCAGCAGTTTCACCCACTTTGCTTTTGCAGCAAAAATGCAAATATTAACACAGTGGAAGAAGCACATTATGTCTTTATATTGCTATGAACTGCTATGAAACCATTAAATGTGGAGTTGGGATTCAGAAATTTGGGATGAGGATTCACCCAAAGCCTCTGATTTCCTACCTTTTAATATATCAGACAGATCATGCCTTCTAGTTTCTCATTTTAGGCAACAAGACCAGGAGGACAACAAAGACTCTGAAGTCACTTTCTTATTATGTTTTAGCGTTAATTAGTTTGGTAGGTATGTATTTTAAGAAGTATGTGTGTCTCCATATAATTTCAGTGTATTTTAAGAAGTATGTGTGTCTCCATATAATTATATAACAATTATATAATTTTACAGTTTTATTATATGGACTGTTATAGACTGAATTCTGTCTCCCTCCCCCAGATTCATATGCTAAGTCCTCAGTCTCAGTATTTCAGTATGTAATTGTATTTGGAGGTAGGGTCTTTAAGAGGTAATGAAGTTAAAATGAGATCATTAAGGTATACCGCAATTCATGGACCAGTGTTGTTATAAGAAGAGTTTGGGACATAGACACATAGAGTGGGAGACAATATGAAGAAATAGGGAAAAGATGGCCATCTACAAGCCAATGAAAGAGGTCTCAGAATAATCCAACTTTGGTGACACTTTGATCTTGGACTTTGAGCCTCCAGAGCCGTGGAAATAAATTTCCTTTGTTTAACCACTGATCTCTGGTACTTTGCTATGGCAGCCTTAGAAAACTAATACATGGACTACTAAAAGAATGTCAAGCATCAGCATCAGTAAACAAATGCAGAAGGAGACCAAGAGTAAAGTGTACTTGATCATTCTGAAAAAAAGGACAGGATACCAACTGTAGCCACTTGGCACTCATAGCCCAAGTTTCCACTGCCTATTCTTCTAGGGCTCTGAAATTCAACTTAGTCCTCATGCTCCCTAACACAGCTCCCAGCTCCAAGAACACACTTTTCACATAAATAGGTTATATTTTCAAATATTAATTTTCTTAAAAATGAAATCTCACCAACACTAATAGAATTCTACTGCTCCCATATATTATAGGTCCGACAGCATTCAGCTGTCAGTGTAGAATATTCCAAATCCTTGCTATTCAAACTGTATCTGCAGACCAGCAGCATCAACATCATCTGAGTTTGTTAGATATGCAGAGTCTCAGATCCTACACTAGAACTACTGAATTAGCATCTACAGTTTAAAAAAAATTTCCATGTGCTTCTTATGCATATACAATTTGAGAAGCACTTTCCTTAAGGAATATGTCTAGAAACATGTCATTTTCTTTTATTGGATTTGAATATTTTGTAAAAAGGCAAGACTTGGAATTTTCTAAAATAATGTGCAATGTGTGGGAATTTTCCAGACCACATGCCGTACAGTTGTTTTCGAAATCATTTCTACAATTTTTCAGTCACCAGGGTATGTTTTGCTTGACATACAACTTCTCTTTTCTAGGAATGACTAGGACATGAAGTCCTGCAGGAAGCAATGACATTTCTCTTTCTGTGTCCATGCTTGTTGGGGAAAAAGCATTTATTACAAATGTAGCTGAAAAGAATGGGAATTACTTCTGTGCATTTTCAACAATTGAAAAGATTTTTTTGCACCTGCTGATTCTATTTTTGTAAAGTATTTAGTGAGGCTAACCCCAAATCTACTATAAATACAATGTGCTTCGAGTACGTATTTTCTTGTTAGATCATTACAAAGTTGTGTGCCTATACTGAACTGCCTCGCAGATTCGTTTGTTGAGTTTAGACTGGAGTCCAGCTATGCACCACAAAGTGGTGAACAGCTGGATGTCTTACAGATTTCTCCTGTACCTTTTACAGATCAGGACTGAATGTATTTTCCCAAGAAGTATAGTGTAAGACTATGCGAGCCTGCTGGAAATCTCTCCTGCCAGCAGTAGTGTTCAATCTGGACATATGTATTTACTTAGTGAAAGCACTTGTCAGATGATAACACCATCAACAACCTGTCAGATTGAAAAAAAATAAAGGCTTTTTCATCTTCATGAAGTGCTATCCATTTTGAAGAAGTTGCCAGCTATATCACTTTATTTGTAGATCCTAAAATAATGTGTACTGGCACTACCATTGTAATCCATATTTAGGCCTGCCATTTGCTGTTTTATACTTTAACGACAATCATAGTTTTGGGCAATAATTTCCATGTGAGAAAATTACATCACTTATTTTTGCATTCTTAAACTGTACATTGTGAGGATGAATTTAAGCTAAGACATATAGTGGTTTTTTTCTTTTATTATTATTTATTTGTTACAGTGATATTCTATGATAGAGATGTTCACCATTAATCCCACAGAGTGTGACCTCCATAAATAAAAATAATAGTCTTATTCACCCACATATACTGATATTTGGCAAGCAAGCTGTTCTAGCTCATTCATGGAAACCCATGTCATCTTTTGTGTCCTTCCAGATGTTCCTAGCAGATATTTACCAAAATTGTGTAAATAATAATGGAAGAATAAGAGAGGTATTTGAGATCTTTCATAGAAACTTTGGTTGAAGCTTTCTTTTGTATTTGCAATACAGTTGTTTCTGAGATGATGCAATCACTAAACATTGGAACAATTACAGCATGGTATCAGCTAACGATCATTGGCATATTTTAAGCTTAACAATATTCATTCTGTATGAATGGGCCAAACTTGGAATATGTAATGTAGTTGTACAGGATTCTGATGATTTTTCACTGGTTGCATTTTCAATAGCTGTACTTCTAAAAAAATAAATACAAACACATGGCAGCAGGTTACAACTTATTATTAAAATTTTCTATTTATAAAAATAATGACCTTAGGCAAATGCCATTAATTATGCAAAGTTATCAAACTCCTTGAAATCATTTTCTATGGAAAAATCCTAAATCATTAATAGTACATTTTATGACTTCCTTAGAAATTTGCATTAATGTGCAAGTTAAAAAATTTATATCAACACAAACTAAAAGAAATAGAATGAATGACCATTTTTCATTTTTTAAAAAACAACTTTTATTGAGTTATTAGTTATTGGTATTGAATATATATACAATAAAAATCACTCTTGAAGAGTACAAGTTGATGACTTGAGAAAAATATATATAGTTGTGTAACTACCACCACAGTTGTTATGCGGTGAATTGTGTCCACCAGAATTTTTATGTTGAAGGCCTAACCCCCAGTACCTCAGAATGTGACTGTTCATAGGTAGGGTCTGTAAAGAGGTAACTAAGGTTCAATGAAGTCATATGGCTGGACCCTAATTCAATCTGACTCGTGTTCTTATAAAAGGATCCATATTTTGAACACACAAAGAGACACCATGAATGGGCCGGCACAGATAAATGACCACATAAAGAGGCAGCAGCAAAAGGGTGGCCATCTGCAAGCCAAAGAGTGAAACCTCAGAGTACACCATCTCTGCTGGCTTCTTGATCTTAGACTTCCAGAGACCCAAACTGTGAGAAAACAAATTTCAGTTGTTGAAGCCACCCAATGTGTGGTATTTAATTATAGCAAACTAATACAGCAGTTATCATAAAGAACATTTCCATTAGCCCCAAAGTTCTCTTCTCCTTCTTTGCAGTCACTCCCCTCTCTCCACACTTAGCCCCTATTAATCACTGATCTGATAACTCTCTCTATAGCTTTGCCTTTTTCAGATCAGAATGCTATACAGTATGGAATCATTCATTGTAGCCATCTGAGTTTGTCTTCCTTCTCTTAGAATGAAGCATTTGATATTGACCCCTGTTATCGTGTATTAGTAGCTTGTTCTTTTCTTATTGCTGCATATTATTTTATTGTTCATATGTACCACAATTTATCTAGTTATTCCAAAGTGCCTGGACCATTTTGCATTCTATCAGCAATATATGAGAGTTTCAGTTGCTCTACATCTTCAGTGCTTAGGATTTTCAGTCTTCTAAATTTTACTAATTCTGGTAGTTGGGTAGTGCTGGAGTTTTGATTTTTATTTCCTCAGTGATTAAATATTTTGAGCATATTTATATAAACCTACTTGCCATTTGTATATATGTTCTTTAATAAAGTGTTCAGATGTTTTGCCCATTTTAACTGTTCACACTTCCTTCTGGTAAAAGTTTTTTTAAACATATTCTGAATATAAATTATTTGTTATATATATGTAAGCTGTGTATAACATGATATTTTGATATACCTACACACAGTGAAATGATTATTACAGTTAAGCAAATTATATTATCCATCACCTTCCATTATTATTTTTAATGTGTGGAAATAGCACCTAAAATTTGTTCTCTTAACAAAATTTCAGTGTGCAGTACGATATTATTAACTATAGTCCTTATGCTGTACATTAGATATCCAGATTTATTTATCATGTATAATTGTAAGTTTATACGCTCTGACTTTTCTCTATGCCCTCTGTCTCTCCCTGCCTCTGGTAGCCACTGTTCTACTCACTGTTTATATGTATTTGACTTCGTTTTAGATTCTGCATGTAAGTGATACCATGCAGTAGTTTTCATTCTGTGCCTGGCTTATTTGACTTAGCATAATGTCCTCCAGGTTTTTCCGTGTTGTTGATTTTTAAGGATAAATAATATTTCATTGATATATATGCCATAATTTTTTTATCCATTCATTGTTGATGGACACTTATGTTGTTGTTTCCGTATCTTGGCTATAGTGAATAATGCTGCAATGAACACGAAGTCCACATATCTCTTCTAGATCCTGATTTCAATTACTTTAAATATACCCAGAAGTGGAATTGCTGAATCATGAAGATAGTTCTATTTTTAATTTTCTGAGGCACCTACTCTTTTCAATAATGGCTGTATTATTAATTTATGTATTAATTCATTTATATATATAAATGCGCTTGCTGACACTTATCTTTAATTTTTTTGATAATAGCCATTCTAACAGGTGTGAGGTAAAATCTCATTGAGTTTTTGACTTCCATTTCCTTGATGATTAGTGGTAATAAGCACTTTTCCATATACCTGTTGGCCATTTTTTTTGAACACGTGTTATTAGTGTTTTTGTGGTTTAAATTTTTGTATTTGTATATTTGTATTTTTTTGTCTGGCTTGTTTCACTGAAAATAATGACTTCCAGTTCCATCCATGGTGCTGCAAATGACACAATTTCATTATTTGTCATGGTTAAATAGTATTCCATTGTGTGTGTGTGTGTGTATACATGTATATGTACACACAACACTTTTTTAAATCCATTCATCCATTGATGCACACTTAGGTTGATCTTTGCTATTGTGAATAGTGCTGCAATAAACATATAAGTGCAGGTATCCCTTTGATACATTGATTTCTTTCTTTCTCTATTCGGTTCCATTGATCTATGTTTCAGTTTTTTTACAGCACCATGCTATTTTGGTTGCTATAGCCTTGTAATATATATTATACTTTAAGTTCTGGGATACATGTGCAGAACATGCAGGTTTGTTACATAGGTATACACGTACCATGGTGGTTTGCTGCACCCATTGCTCAATCATCTACATTAGGTATTTCTCCTAATGCTATCCCTCCCCTAGCCCCCCACCTCCAAACGGCCCCCGGTGTGTGATGTTCCCCTCCCTGTGTCCATGTTTTCTCATTGTTCAACTCCCACTTCTGAGTGAGAAAATGCGGTGTTTGGTTTTGCATTCCTGTGTTAGTTTGCTGAGAATGATGGTTGCCAGCTTTATCCATGTCCCTGCAAAAGACATGAACTCATCCTTTTTATGGTTGCATGGTATTCCATGGTGTATATGTGCCACATTTTCTTTATCCAGTCTATCACTGATGGACATTTGAGTTGGTTCCAAGTCTTTGTTATTGTGAATAGTGCTGCAATAAACATATGTGTGCATGTGTCTTTATAGCAGAATGATTTATAATCCTTTGGGTATATACCCAGTAATGGGATTGATGGGTCAAATGGTATTTCTGGTTCTAGATCCCTGAGGAATCACCACACTGTCTCTCACAATGGTTGAACTAATTATCACTCCCACCAAGAGTGTAAAGCATTGCTATTTCTTCACATCCTCTCCAGATTCTGTTGTTTCCTGACATTTTAATGATTGCCATTCTAACTGGCATGAGATGGACTCTCATAGTGGTTTTGATTTGCATTTCTCTAATGACCAATGATAATGAGCTTTTTTTCATATGTTTGTTGGCCACATAAATGTCTTCTTTTGAGAAGTGTCTGTTCATATCATTCGCTCACTTTTTGATGGGGTTGTTTTTTTCTTGTAAACTTGTGTAAGTTCCTTGTGTAGATTCTGGATATTAGCCCTTTTTCAGATGGATAGATTTTAAAAATTTTCTCCCATTATGCAGGTTGGGTGTTCACTCTGATGATAGTTTCTTTTGCTGTGCAGAAGCTCTTTTAATTAGATCCCATTTGTCAATTTTGGCTTTTGTTGCCATTTCTTTTGGTGTTTTAGTCATGAAGTCTTTGCCCATGCCTGTGTCCTGAATGGTATTGCCTAGGTTTTCTTATAAGATTTTTATGGTTTTAGGTTTAAGTCTTTAATCAATTTTGAGTTAATTTTTGTATAAGGTGTAAGGAAGGAGTCCATTTTGAGTTTTCTGCATATGGCTAGCCAGTTTTCCCAACACCATTTATTAAATAGGGAATCCTTTCCCCGTTGCTTGTTTTTGTCAGTTTTGTCAAAGATCAGATGGTTGTAGATGTGTGGCATTATTTCTGAGGCTTCTGTTCTGTTCCATTGGTCTATGTATCTGTTTTGGTACCAGTACCATGCTGTTTTGGTTACTGTAGCCTTGTAGTATAGTTTGAAGTCAATTAGCATGATGCCTTCATCTTTGTTCTTTTTGCTTATGATTGTCTTGGCTATACAGGCTCTTTTTTGGTTCCATATGAAATTTAAACCAGTTTTTTTCTAATTCTTTAAAGAAAGTCAATGGTAGCTTGATGGAGATAGCATTGAATCTATAAATTACTTTGGGCAGTTTGACCATTTTCATGATATTGATTCTTCCTATCCACGAGCATCAAATGTTTTTCCATTTGTTTGTGCCCTTTCTTATTTCCTTGAGCAGCGATTTTAGTTTTCCTTGAAGAGGTCCTTCACATCCCTTGTAAGTTTTATTCCTAGGTATTTTATTCTCTTTGTAGCAATTGTGAATGGGAGTTCACTCATGATTTGGCTCTTGGTTTGTCTATTATTGGTGTATAGGAATGCTTGTGATTTTTGCACATTGATTTTGTATCCTGAGAATTTGCTGAAGTTGCATATCAGCTTAAGGGGATTTTGGGCTGAGACAACAGGGTTTTCTAAATATACAATCATGTCATCTGCAAACAGAGACAATTTGACTTCCTATTTGAATGCCCTTTATTATTTTCTCTCACCTGATTGCCCTGGCTAGAACTTCCAATACTGTGTTGAATAGGAGTGGTGAGAGAGTGCATCCTTGCCTCGTGCCAGTTTTCAAAGGGAATGTTTCCAACTTTTACCCATTCAGTATGATATTGGCTGTGGGTCTGTGATAAATAGCTCCTATTATTTTGAGATACATTCTATCAGTGCCTAGTTTATTGAGAGTTTTTAGCATGAAAGGGTGTTGAATTTTACTGAAGGTCTTTTCTGCATCTATTGAGATAATCATGTGGTTTTTTTTTTTTTTTTGAGACGGAGTCTTGCTCTTCCACCCAGACTGGAGTGCAGTGGCACTATCTCGGCTCACTGCAAGCTCTGCCTCCCGGGTTCATGCCATTCTAATCATGTGGTTTTTGTCATTGGTTCTGTTTATGTGATGGATTACATTTATTGATTTGCATATGTTGAACTAGCCTTGCATCCCAGGGATGAACCCAATTTGATCGTGGTGGATAAGCTTTTTGATGTGCTGCTGCATTCAGTTTGCCAGTATTTTTTTTAGTATTTCTGCATAGATGTTCATCAGGGATATTGGCCTGAAATTTTGTTTTTGTTGTTGTTGTTGTGTCTCCACCAGGTTTGGTATCAGGATTATGCTGGCCTCATAAAATGAGTTGGGGAGGAGTCCCTCTTTTTCTATTATTTGGGATAGTTTCAGAAGGAATGGTACCAGCTCCTCTTTGTACCTCTGGTAGAATTCGGCTGTGAATCTGTCTGGTCCTGGGCTTTTTTGGTTGGTAGGCTATTAATTATTGCCCCCCAATTTCAGAACTTGTTATTGATCTATTCAGGGATTCTGCTTTTTCCTGGTTTAGTTTTGGGATGGTGTATGTGTCTATGAATTTATCCATTTCTTCTAGATTTTCTAGTTTATTTGCATAGAGGTGTTTATAGTGTTCTCTGATGGTAGTTTATATTTCTGTGGGATCAGTGATGATATCCCCTTTATCATTTTTTATTGTGTCTATTTGATTCTCCTCTCTTTTCTTCTTTGTTAGGCTTGCTAGTGGTTTATCTATTTTGTTAATCTATTTTATGTATTTTGTTAATCAAAAAATCAGCTCCTGGATTCATTGATTTTTTGAAGGGTTTTTCGTGTCTCCATCTCCTTCATTTCTGCTCTGATCTTAGTTATTTCTTGTCTTCTCCTAGCTTTTGAATTTGTTTGCTCTTGCTTCTCTAGTTCCTTTAATTGTGATGTTAGGGTGTCAATTTCAGATGTTTCTGGCTTTCTTCTGTGGGCATTTAGTGCTATAAATTTCCCTCTAAACACTGCTTAGCTGTGTCCCAGAGATTCTTGTACATTGTGTCTTTGTTATCATTGGTTACAAAACTTATTTATTTCTATCTTAATTTTGTTATTTACCCAGCAGTCAGTCTTTCAGGAGCAGGTTGTTCAGTTTTCATGTAATTGTGCAGTTTTGAGTGAGTTTCTTAATCCTGAGTTCTAATTTGGTTGCACTGTGGTCTGAGAGACTGTTAGATCAACTTAATGAAATAAAGCAAGAAGACAAGATTAGAGAAAAAAGAATGAAAAGGAGTGAACAATGCCTCCATGAAATATGGGACTATGTGAAAAGACCAAACCTACATTTGATTGGTGTACCTGAAAGTGACTGGGAGAATGGAACCAAGTTGGAAAACACTCTTCAGGATATTATCCAAGAGAACTTCCCCAAACTAGCAAGGCAGGCCAACATTCAAATTCAGGAAATACAGAACACCACAAAGATACTCCTCAAGAAGAGCAACCCCAAGATACATAATTGTCACATTCACCAAGGTTGAAATGAAAGGAAAATATGTTAAGGGCAGCCAAAGAGAAAGGTCACGTTACCCACAAAGGGAAGGCCATCAGACTAACAGCGGATCTTTCTGCAGAAACTTTACAATCCAGAAGAGAATGGGGGCCAATATTTAACATTCTTAAAGAAAAGAATTTTCAACCCAGAATTTCATATCCAGCCAAACTAAGCTTCACAAGCGAAAGAGAAATAAAAGCCTTTATAGATAAGCAAATGCTGAGAGATTTTGTCACCACCATGCCTGCCTTACAAGAGCTCCTGAAGGAAGCACTAAATATGGAAAGGAAAAACTTGTACCAGCCACTGCAAAAACATACCAAATTGTAAAGACTATCAACACTATGAAGAAATTGTATCAACTAATGGGCTAAATAACCAGCTAGCATCATAATGATAGGATCAAATTCACACATAACAATATTACCCTTAAATGGGCTAAATGCCCTAATTAGAAGACACAGACTGGCAAATGGATAAAGAGTCAAGACCTATTGGTGTGCTATATTCAGGAGACCCATCTCACACGCAAAGACACACATAGGCTCAAAATAAAGGGATGGAGCAAGATTTACCAAGCAAATGGAAAGTCAAAAAAAAGCAAGGGTTGCAATCCTAGTCTCTAATAAAACAAACTTTAAACCAACAAAGATCAGAAAAGACAAAGAAGGGCATTACGTAATGGTAAAGGGATCAACACAACAAGAAGAGCTAACTATCCTAAATATATATATACCCAATACAGGAGCACCTAGATTCATAAAGCAAGTCCTTAGAGACCTACAAAGAGCCTTAGACTTCCAAACAATAGTAGTGGGAGACTTTAACACCCACTGTCAATATTAGACAGATCAACAAGACAGAAAATTAACAAGGCTATTTAGGACCTGAACTCAGCTCTGGACCAGGTGGACCTAATAGACATCTACAGATCTCTCCACCCCAAATCAACAGAATATACATTCTTCTCCGCACCACATGGCACTTATTCTAAAATTGACCACAAAATTGGAAGTAAAACACTCCTCAGCAAACGCAAAAGAACTGTTGGCCATTTTTATGTCTCCTTTGGAAAAATGTCTATCAGGTCCTTTGCCCATTTTAAAATCAGGTTATTATTATTATTACTATTTTGCTATTGAGTTGTAGCTATTTCTTATATATTTTGGATATTAACCCCATTGGAAATACGAATTGCAAATATTTTCTCTCAGTTCATTGACTAGATTTCCATTTTGTTGATTTCTTTTTTTTTTTTCTGTGCTGAAGCTTTTTACTGTAATGTAGTTCTACTTCTTTATCTTTGCTTTTGTTACCTGAGCTTTCAGTGTTATATCCAAAAGTTATTGCCAAGCCAATGTCAAGGAGCATTACCCCTGTGTTTTCTTCCAAGAGTTTCATAGTTTTATTGATTTCCTCTTTCAATAATCTATTTATTATTGAAAATAGGATATTGAAATCTATTGTTTTAGTATTGCAGTATTGCAGTCAATTTCTCCTTCAGATCTGTCAACATTTGCTTTATATACTTAGGTGTTCTGGTGTTGAAAATATGTTTATCTACAATTGTTATATCTTCCTGTTGAGTTACCCTTTTATCATTATGTAATGATTTTGTCTCTAGAGAAAGTTTTTGGCTTAAAAATCTACTTTGTCTGCTGTAAGTATAGCCACTCCTGCTTTCTTTTAGTTACCATTTGCATGGGATATTTTTTTCCATCCCTTTACTTTTAGTCTATGTGTGTCATTGAATCTAAACTGAGTTTCTTGTAAACAACATGTAATAGAATTTTGTATTTTTAGCCACTTAGCTACTCTGTATCTTTCTACTGGGGATTTTACTTCATTTACATTTAATTATTGATAAGAAAGGATTTACTGTTGCCATTTTGTTAGCTGTGCTCTGTTTATCTTTTTTTTTTTTTAAATCTCTCTTTTCCTCTCTTAACTGTCTTTGTTGGTATGTGTTTCATTATTTATTTGTCTGTTTGTATTGGCAGGCTTTGATTTCTGTCTATTTTTCTTTTGTGTAGCTTGTATAGGGATTTTTGTTCCTAAGGGGTCTACATAACATATCGTACAGTTATAACCATCTATTTTAAGCTGAGAACTTAATTACCCTTGCATGCAAGACTCTCCACTCTTACTTATATTCCTCCACATTCTATATTATATAAGTCACAATTTACAACTATCTAGTCTATGTTTTAATTAACATAATTTAGTTATAGTTGTTTTAAATACCTTTGTCTTTTCACTTTTGTAGGGGGATTACAATTGATTTAGTCATTATTGTTATAGTAATATAATTCGTTTTTGCCTATATATTTACCTTTGCCAATGAGTTTCATACCTTCTTATGCTCTTGTGTTGCTATTTAGCATTTTTTCATTTCTACTTGAAGAATTCTCTTTAACGTTTCTTGAATGGCAAATCTAGTAATGATAACTTCTTTCAGCTTTTTTTTTGTCTGAGAAAACATTTTTCTCCACTTCATTTCTGAATAATACATTTGCTGGGTATAGCATTTTTAGTGAACAGTCTTTTCTTTTTTCTTTTAGGTGGGGTCTCTCTCCTTGTTGCCCAGGCTGGAGTGCAGTGGTGAGATCATAGTTCACTACAACTTCAACTCCCAGGTTCAAATGATCCTCCTACCTCAGCCTCCCAAGTAGCCTGGACTACAGGCAAGTGCCACCACGCCCAAACGATTTTTATTATTATTTTTTTTTTGTAGAGACAGCATCTCACTATATTGCCCAGGCTGGTCTTGAACTCCTGGGCTAAAGTGATCCTCCCACCTTAGCCTCCAAAGTGCTGAGAATACAGGCATTAGCCACTACACCTGACCAGTCTTTTTCCATTAGCACTTTAAATATATTATTTATCTCCCTTTCCGGCCTGCAAGATTTCTGCAGAAAAATTCACTATAGTCTTATAGAAGTTTTATTTTAGGTAATAAGTTGTTTTTCCCTTGCTACTTTCAAATTCCTCTGTCTTTAACTTTTGACAATTAGATTATGTGTCTTAAAATCTTGGGTCCCTTTGGATTCATTTTATTTGATGTGGGCTTCTTGGATCTGGGTTTCTATTTTATTCCTTAGGCTTGGGAAGCTTTCAGCCATTATTTCTTTGAATAAGCTGTCTTTTCTTTCTCTCCTTATTCTCCTTCTCATATTACAATATTGCATACATTGCTCAGCTTGATGGTGTCATATATATATCCCTTAAGAAAAAGATCCACTTATTTTCTTTCTATTCTTTTTATGCACCTCAGATTGGATAATTTCAAATGAACTGTCTTTAAGCTCACTGATCCTTAAGTCCACTCCACCTAGTCTGCTGTTGAACCTTTCTATTGAATTTTTCTGTTCAGTTATTGTATTCTTCAGCTCTATAATTTCTGTTTGGCACTTTTTGTATTTTGTATGTTTTGAAATTTTCACTTTGGTCTTGCATTGCTCTCCTGTCCTTCAGTGATCATCTTTGTGGCCATTTTTTTTTTTTTTAATTTTCAGTCATGTAAGTCAGATATCTTCATTTCATGAGGATTGGTTGTGGAGGTTTATAGTGCTCTTTTATTTGGAAAAAAATTCATTTCTTTATTATCCTTAGTTCTTTGTGTTGGCTTCTACTCATTAGAAAAGAAAACCTCATCCCCCAGGTTTTTCACACTGGTCCTGTATGGAAGGTAGACATCGCCAATCACCCTGGCCAGAGATTCTAGGTGCCTCTCAAACTTTTGTGTTTGTCTAAATAACTGTCTTTATTCTTATTGCCCCCTCAAGAGACTAGGGTGTGACAAGTATTATCAATGCCCAAAGACAGGCAAGATAGAAGTCAGTTCCTTGTGATGCAGCTGGAAAAGTTGAGGTGTTAGATGTGTGTGCTAGTACTTTCTATCTTCAGGGAGAAGCTGAGAGCTGGAGTTTATCTCTGACTCACTCTGCATTAAGCTGAGGAGGAGATCTGTGGCACATACCTACACTTTCATTTAGACCACACACTCCAAGGCTGGGGGAATAGCAAATGGATGTGTGCTGGCTGAAAAACCACCCTTTTCTCTGTCATGTGGGAGAGTCGAGAATGCAGAGTCCAGTCAACTACCAGAGCTAGGTGATTAAGGAGACAGTTCCTCAAATAGGAGCTGTAAAATTTCCATCTTTAATGTGTGCCAAAATTCCTTCTGGAGATAATTTGAAGACCTAGACTTATTGCTGGAGCAAGCTTGGGAAGAATTTGTGGGAAGTGATTCCTTTCCTGTTCAGGCTCCTAGAGTTCTATGACTTATTTGCTTCCTAGGCTCTCAGAAGTAAGCTAGTTAAAAGCCCGACCTTCCAGCAGCAGCTGGGAAAGTGTGCAGACAATCCTCTTCCAGAGAGAAACTGGGAGCTGAGTGTTTTGGTCAGTTATCTCTGCACTGGTCCTGGGGATTATAGTCCCTGGCAGTGCTTGCATTCTGGTTTAAAATCATTTTTTTTTGTTTTATGTTGTAGAAAGACTCATGAATGCTGAGTCCCTTCCACTCTCAGAGCTAGATAATTTAAGAGAAAAATTCTTTGGGAGGATATAGGAAAATTGTGGCATAATATCTGTGGCCTAAACCCTTTGTTTCTGAAAAAGAAATTAAGAGTTGGGGATTCCTTCTGATTCTGTGGCACAGTGCCCAGGGCAGAATTTATACCTGAGAGTGTCTCAGTTTTTCCTACCCATATCCCTGTGGATATTTTCTCATTTACCCAGTGTGTAAGAGTTATTCAGCTAGTTTCTAACTTTCTCTCAGAGAGAACTGATCCATGTGTACATGTTCATTTGGTGCATCTGAGAGAAAATTAGAAGCCTCCAATTCCACCATCTTGCTGACATTTTTGATTTAATTTCTTTATTAGATCTTGCCATTCATTTTCCATTTGTTCTATCATTTCTTTGGTTCCTTTTCCTAAAGTGAACATTTTTTATGATTTTTTTCTCTTTTTGGGGGGGTGTCAAATTGACTAGGTTATGGGGTACTCACATAGCTAATAGAGCATTTATTTTCAATGCTTTAATAGGCACTGAGCCTGTCCCTCTTCTGTTGAAAGGGAATTCAGTTGGTTTTGCTTTTGGTTAGAATGATTGGGTTCCAGGTGTGTCTGTGAGGGTGCTTCCAGAGGAGATTGGCACGGGAATTGGTAGACTGAGTGGAGAAGATCTGTTTTCAATGTAGGTGGGCACCTTCCAGTTGGCAGAGGTTCAGATAGGCCAAAAAGAAAGAGAAAGGGTGAATTCTTGCTTTCTGTTCTAGAGCCAGGATGGCTTCTTCTGCCCTTGGATGTCAGAACCCTGGGTTCTCTGGCTTTTGAACTCTTGGAATTGTGTCCCAGAGTTCTAAGAGTTCTGAGCTCTGAGAGCCCACCATGGCTCTCAGGCTCTCAGGCCTTCAGGCTCAGACTGAGAGATCACTGTTGGCTTCCTTGGTTCTGAGGCCTTCAGACTTAGACTAAACCACACTACTGGCTTCCCTGCTTCTGAGGCTTTAGACTGGGACCAAGCCATGCTCCTGACTTCCTTGATTCTCCAGTTTGCAGATAGCTTATTATGGAACTGCTTAGCCACCATAATCAAGTGAGCCAATTTCCCTAATAAATCTCTTCCTATATAGCTCTCTTTCTCTCTCTATATATATACACATATATATCCTATTGGTTCTCTTTGGAGAACCCTGACTAAAATGACAGCCAATTATTTTTCAAAGAGATTAAACATCACAAAAAATATGTGTTTATATTTACCCATACTTTTGCTACTCTCAGTGTTCTCCATTTATTTATGTCAATATAAATATCTGGCAGAAATTGTACTCTGAAGAACATCTTTTAAATTCTTTTCTGGTGGTGCAGATCTGCTGTCACTAAACTATCCACGCTTCTGTTTTTTGAAAGCTATTTCTTTTACCTTTATTTAGAAAGATATATTTCCTGGGTGCAGAATTCTGTGTTGATAGATTTTTTTTCAGTTCAATAAACATTTTTGTTTATTATCTTCCAGCTTGCATACATTCTGATGAGTTAACCTTTTGACATCCTTTTCTTTCTCTGTTACAATTCTTTTTACTAGCTGCCCTCAAGATCTTCTCATTATCTTTAGTTTTCAGCCATTGTACTATAATGTGCCAAGGTAGGTTTTTCTCGTATTTATTTTGCTGAGATTCTGTGATCTTAGATATGTGGTTATTGCTTTTCTTTAATTTCAGAATCTTGTTGGCAATTTTTTTTTCAAGTATGCCCTCTGCTCCTTTCTTTTTTGTCCTTCTGGGACCCCAATTTTATGGGTTTTTTTTCTTTTTTTTGTACCATGTAATATTTTCCCATAACTCTGGGTTGTTCTTTTCTCTTCATCTCCCTCTTCACTTCTCAATCTCTTTCCTTATTATGTATCTACTGATCTATCTTTAAGTTCACTATACTTTATTGTGTCTAATCTGCTGATAAAATTTCATTAGAGGAATTCTTTTTTTTCTTTAATTAATTAATTTATTATTATTATACTTTAAGTTTTAGGGTACATGTGCACAACGTGCAGGTTAGTTGCATATGTATACATGTGCCATGCTGGTGCGCTGCACCCACTAACTCGTCATCTAGCATTAGGTATTTCTCCCAATGCTATCCCTCCCCCCTCCCCCAACCCCACAACAGGCCCCAGAGTGTGATGTTCCCCTTCCTGTGTCCATGTGTTCTCATTGATCAATTCCCACCTATGAGTGATAATATGTGGTGTTTGGTTTTTTGTTCTTGTGATAGTTTACTGAGAATGATGATTTCCAATTTCATCCATGTCCCTACAAAGGATGAACTCAACATTTTTTATGGCTGCATAGTACTCCATGGTGTATATGTGCCACATTTTCTTAATCCAGTCTATCATTGTTGGACATTTGGGTTGGTTCCAAGTCTTTGCTATTGTGAATAATGCCGCAATAAACATACGTGTGCATGTGTCTTTATAGCAGCATGATTTCTAGTCCTTTGGGTATATACCCAGTAATGGGATGGCTGGGTCAAATGGTATTTCTAGTTCTAGATCCCTGAGGAATTGCCACACTGACTTCCACAATGGTTGAACTAGTTTACAGTCCCACCAACAGTGTAAAAGTGTTCCTATTTCTCCACATCCTCTCCAGCACCTGTTGTTTCCTGACTTTTTGATGGTATCTCATTGTGGTTTTGATTTGCATTTCTCTGATGGCCAGTGATGGTGAGCATTTTTTCATGTGTTTTTTGGCTGGATAAATGTCTTCTTTTGAGAAGTGTCTGTTCATGTCTTTCACCCACTTTTTGATGGGGTTGTTTGTTTTTTTCTTGTAAATTTGTTTGAGTTCATTGTAGATTCTGGATATTAGCCCTTTGTCAGACGAGTAGGTTGTGAAAATTTTCTCCCATTTTGTAGGTTGCCTGTTCACTCTGATGGTAGTTTCTTTTACTGTGCAGAAGCTCTTTAGTTTAGTTAGATCCCATGTGTCAATTTTGGCTTTTGTTGCCATTGCTTTTGGTGTTTTAGACATGAAGTCCTTGCCCATGCCTATGTCCTGAATGGTAATGCCTAGGTTTTCTTCTAGGGTTTTTATGGTTTTAGGTCTAACGTTTAAGTCTTTAATCCATCTTGAATTGATTTTTGTATAAGGTGTAAGGAAGGGATCCAGTTTCAGCTTTCTACATATGGCTAGCCAGTTTTCCCAGCACCATTTATTAAATAGGGAATCCTTTCCCCATTGCTTGTTTTTCTCAGGTTTGTCAAACATCAGATAGTTGTAGATATGCGGCGTTATTTCTGAGGGCTCTGTTCTGTTCCATTGATCTATATCTCTGTTTTGGTACCAGTACCATGCTGTTTTGGTTACTGTAGCCTTGTAGTATAGTTTGAAGTCAGGTAGTGTGATGCCTCCAGCTTTGCTCTTTTGGCTCAGGATTGACTTGGCGATGCGGGCTCTTTTTTGGTTCCATATGAACTTTAAAGTAGTTTTTTCCAATTCTGTGAAGAAAGTCATTGGTAGCTTGATGGGGATGGCATTGAATCTGTAAATTACCTTGGGCAGTATGGCCATTTTCACGATATTGATTCTTCCTACCCATGAGCATGGAATGTTCTTTCATTTGTTTGTATCCTCTTTTATTTCCTTGAGCAGTGGTTTGTAGTTCTCCTTGAAGAGGTCCTTCACATCCCTTGTAAGTTGGATTTCTAGGTATTTTATTCTCTTTGAAGCAATTGTGAATGGGAGTTCACTCATGATTTGGCTCTCTGTTTGTCTGTTGTTGGTGTATAAGAATGCTTGTGATTTTTGTACATTGATTTTGTATCCTGAGATTTTGCTGAAGTTGCTTATCAGCTTAAGGAGATTTTGGGCTGAGACAATGGGGTTTTCTAGATATACAATCATGTCATCTGCAAACAGGGACAATTTGACTTCCTCTTTTCCTAATTGAATACCCTTTATTTCCTTCTCCTGCCTAATTGCCCTGGCCAGAACTTCCAACACTATGTTGAATAGGAGTGGTGAGAGAGGGCATTCCTATCTTGTGCCAGTTTTCAAAGGGAATGCTTCCAGTTTTTGCCCACTCAGTATGATATTGGCTGTGGCTCTGTCACAGATAGCTCTTATTATTTTGAAATACATCCCATCAATACCTAATTTATTGAGAGTTTTTAGCATGAAGGGTTGTTGAATGTTGTCAAAGGTCTTTTCTGCATCTATTGAGATAATCATGTGGTTTTTGTCTTTGGTTCTGTTTATATGCTGGATTACATTTATTGATTTGCGTATATTGAACCAGCCTGGCATCCCAGGGATGAAGCCCACTTGATCATGGTGGATAAGCTTTTTGATGTGCTGCTGGACTCGGTTTGCCAGTATTTTATTGAGGAATTTTGCATCAATGTTCATCAAGGATATTGGTCTAAAATTCTCTTTTTTGGTTGTGTCTCTGCCCGGCTTTGGTATCAGGATGATGCTGGCCTCATAAAATGAGTTAGGGAGGATTCCCTCTTTTTCTATTGATTGGAATAGTTTCAGAAGGAATGGTACCAGTTCCTCCTTGTAACTCTGGTAGAATTCGGCTGTGAATCCATCTGGTCCTGGACTCTTTTTGGTTGGTAAGCTATTGATTATTGCCACAATTTCAGATCCTGTTATTGGTCTATTCAGAGATTCAACTTCTTCCTGGTTTAGTCTTGGGAGAGTGTATGTGTCCAGAAATTTATCCATTTCTTCTAGATTTTCTAGTTTATTTGTGTAGAGGTGTTTGTAGTATTCTCTGATGGTAGTTTCTATTTCTGTGGGATCGGAGGTGATATCCCCTTTATCATTTTTTATTGCGTCTATTTGATTCTTCTCTCTTTTTTTGTTTATTAGTCTTGCTAGCGGTCTATCAATTTTGTTGATCCTTTCAAAAAACCAGCTCCTGGATTCATTAATTTTTTGAAGGGTTTTTTGTGTCTCTATTTCCTTCAGTTCTGCTCTGATTTTAGTTATTTCTTGCCTTCTGCCAGCTTTTGAATGTGTTTGCTCTTGCTTTTCTAGTTCCTTTAATTGTGATGTTAGGGTGTCAATTTTGGATCTTTCCTGCTTTCTCTTGTGGGCATTTAGTGCTATAAATTTCCCTCTACACACTGCTTTGAATGCATCCCAGAGATTCTGGTATGTTGTGTCTTTGTTCTCGTTGGTTTCAAAGAACATCTTTATTTCTGCCTTCATTTCGTCATGTACCCAGTAGTCATTCAGGAGCAGGTTGTTCAGTTTCCATGTAGTTGAGCAGTTTTGAGTGATATTCTTAATCCTGAGTTCTAGTTTGATTGCACTGTGGTCTGAGAGATAGTTTGTTATAATCTCTGTTCTTTTACATTTGCTGAGGAGAGCTTTACTTCCAACCATGTGGTCGATTTTGTAATAGGTGTGGTGTGGTGCTGAAAAAAATGTATAGTCTGTTGATTTGGGGTGGAGAGTTCTGTAGATGTCTATTAGGTTCGCTTGGTGCAGAGCTGAGTTCAATTTCTGGGTATCCTTATTGACTTTCTGTCTCGTTGATCTGTCTAATGTTGACAGTGGGGTGTTAAAGTCTCCCATTATTAATGTGTGGGAGTCTAAGTCTCTTTGTAGGTCACTCAGGACTTGCTTTATGAATCTGGGTGCTCCTGTATTGGGTGCATATATATTTAGGATAGTTAGCTCTTCTTGTTGAATTGATCCCTTTACCATTATGTAATGGCCTTCTTTGTCTCTTTTGATCTTTGTTGGTTTAAAGTCTATTTTATCAGAGACTAGGATTGCAACCCCTGCCTTTTTTTGTTTTCCATTTGCTTGGTAGATCTTCCTCCATCCTTTTATTTTGAGCCTATGTGTGTCTCTGCACGTGAGATGGGTTTCCTGAATACAGCACACTGATGGGTCTTGACTCTTTATCCAACTCGCCAGTCTGTGTCTTTTAATTGGAGCATTTAGTCCATTTACATTTAAAGTTAATATTGTTATGTGTGAATTTGATCCTGTCATTATGATGTTAGCTGGTTATTTTGCTCGTTAGCTGATGCAGTTTCTTCCTAGTCTCGATGGTCTTTACATTTTGGCATGATTTTGCAGCGGCTGGTACCGGTTGTTCCTTTCCATGTTTAGCGCTTCCTTCAGGAGCTCTTTTAGGGCAGGCCTGGTGGTGACAAAATCTCTCAGCATTTGCTTGTCTGTAAAGTATTTAATTTCTCCTTCACTTATGAAGCTTAGTTTGGCTGGATATGAAATTCTGGGTTGAAAATTCTTTTCTTTAAGAATGTTGAATATTGGCCCCCACTCTCTTCTGGCTTGTAGAGTTTCTGCCGAGAGATCTGCTCTTAGTCTGATGGGCTTCCCTTTGAGGGTAACCCGACCTTTCTCTCTGGCTGCCCTTAACATTTTTTCCTTCATTTCAACTTTGGTGAATCTGACAATTATGTGTCTTGGAGTTGCTCTTCTCAAGGAGTATCTTTCTGGCGTTCTCTGTATTTCCTGAATCTGAATGTTGGCCTGCCTTGCTAGATTGGGGAAGTTCTCCTGGATAATATCCTGCAGAGTGTTTTCCAACTTGGTTCCATTCTCCCCGTCACTTTCAGGTACACCAATCAGACAAAGATTTGGTCTTTTCACATAGTCCCATATTTCTTGGAGGCTTTGCTCATTTCTTTTTATTCTGTTTTCTCTAAACTTCCCTTATCGCTTCATTTCATTCGTTTCATCTTCCATTGCTGATACCCTTTCTTCCAGTTGATCACATCGGCTCCTGAGGCTTCTGCATTCTTCACGTAGTTCTCGAGCCTTGGTTTTCAGCTCCATCAGCTCCTTTAAGCACTTCTCTGTATTGGTTATTCTAGTTATACATTCTTCTAAATTTTTTTCAAAGTTTTCAACTTCTTTGCCTTTGGTTTGAATGTCCTCCCATAGCTCGGAGTAATTTAATTGTCTGAAGCCTTCTTCTCTCAGCTCGTCAAAGTCATTCTCCATCCAGCTTTGTTCTGTTGCTGGTGAGGAACTGAGTTCCTTTGGAGGAGGAGAGGCACTCTGCTTTTTAGAGTTTCCAGTTTTTCTGCTCTGTTTTTTCCCCATCTTTGTGGTTTTTTCTACTTTTGGTCTTTGATGATGGTGATATACAGCTGGGTTTTTGGTGTGGATGTCCTTTCTGTTTGTTAGTTTTCCTTCTAACAGACACAACCCTCAGCTGCAGGTCTGTTGGAGTACCTGGCCGTGTGAGGTGTCAGTCTGCCCCTGCTGGGGGGTGCCTCCCAGTTAGGCTGCTCAGGGGTCAGGGGTCAGGGACCCACTTGAGGAGGCAGTCTGCCCGTTCTCAGATCTCCAGCTGCGTGCTGGGAGAATGGCTGCTCTCTTCAAAGCTGTCAGACAGGGACATTTAAGTCTGCAGAGGTTACTGTTGTCTTTTTGTTTGTCTGTGCTCTGCCCCCAGAGGTGGAGCCTACAGAGGCAGGCAGGCCTCCTTGAGCTGTGGTGGGCTCCACCCAGTTGGAGCTTCCAGGCTGCTTTGTTTACCTAAGCAAGCCTGGGCAATGGCGGGCGCCCCTCCCCCAGCCTGGCTGCCGCCTTGCAGTTTGATCTCAGATTGCTGTGCTAGCAATCAGCGAGACTCGGTGGGCGTAGGTCCCTCCGAGCCAGGTGCGGGATATAATCTGATGCGCCGTTTTTTAAGCCCGTCGGAAAAGCGCAGTATTTGGGTGGGAGGGACCCGATTTTCCAGGTGCCGTCTGTCACCCCTTTCTTTGACTAGGAAAGGGAACTCCCTGACCCCTTGCACTTCCTGAGTGAGGCAATGCCTCGCCCTGCTTTGGCTCGTGCACGGTGCGCGCACCCACTGACCTGCGCCCGCTGTCTGGCACTCCCTAGTGAGATGAACCCGGTACCTCAGATGGAAATGCAGAAATCACCCGTCTTCTGCGTGGCTCACGCTGGGTGCTGTATACCGGAGCTGTTCCTATTCGGCCATCTTGGCTTCTCCCATTAGAGGAATTCTTTACCTCTGATATCATGATACCTAGAATTTTCAAGTGGCTTTGTTTATAGTTCCTATGTCTCTATGGAAATTACCTCTCTGTTCATACATGTTGTCCTCCCCCAACTAGATGTTTTAAAGTGTCCTTTGCAGTTATTTTAACACTTCTGTTTGATAGTTCCAATGTTTGCATAGTTTCTTGGTTTGGTTCTGTTGTTTTTTTGTAGGAATGAGTAATTTTTCTTTCTTTTTTTTTTTTTGGTGTGTGTTTCACAGTTATTGACTGTATGTCACCTTTTTTGTAAAAAAAAAAAAAAAAAGGATAAAAGATATAACAAAGGATATAGCATTTGCCTGGAAATCAGCATACCTTTGCAAGTGGCAGATTGTTGTTGCTTTTTTTTAACTTTTAAGTTCAGGCATCTATGTGTAGAATGTGCAGGTTTATTACATAGGTAACCGTGTATCATGGGGGTTTGTTGTACAGATTATTTCATCACACATATATTAAGCCTAGTATCCATTAGTCATTTTTTCTGAGCCTCTTTCTCCTCCTACCCTCTGCCCTCTGGTGGGCCCCAGTGTGGATTTTTCCCCTTCATGTGTCCATGTGTTCTCATTGTTCAGCTCCCACTTAGAAATGAGAACATGTAGTATTTGGTTTTCTGTTCCTGTGTTAGTTTGCTAAGGATAATGGCCTACAACTCCATTCATGTCCCTGCAAAGGACATGACCTTGTCCCTTTTTATGGCTGCACAGTATTCCATGGCGTATATGTACCACATTTTCTCTATCCCGTCTGTCATTGATTGGCATTTAGGTTGATTCCATGTCTTTACTATTGTGAATAGTGCTGTTGTTGCTTCTTAATCATTTGTTCTGAGGCCCATGGTAGTGATGCAAAAGTTTCTCAGTCAAGTCTTGGTCTTAGGCTGTCACTGTATTCTTGGACTTAAGGGTTAACACATTGTCAACATTTTTGCACATTCTCTCTCCTCTTCAACCCCTATAGCAGCTGAACTCTGTTTTGCATCATGGAAGGCCTTGCACAGGAACAAATTTTCTACCCCTTTCCTAACATTAGTGGCACTCTGCTTTGTATCTATGCGGAATCCTTGACCCAAGCAGTTTCCTATCCTTCTGCAGTAGTAGAGGCTTTTCCTTCTATTCCTCCTTCACAGGAAGCATACCTTCGGGTGGGACCAGTAGCAGATCTTTCAGCTCTTTCCTCAGTTGCAATTGGCTCTTGCTTATACTCCTCCCTCAAAAGCAGCAAATATTTCCCTTGTTCCCAGGAGTTGAAAGGATTTCCTGTCTTTCCAGCAGCAGTCTATGCTTTTGCTTTTTTTGAGAGAAGAGACTGGAAAGCAGGTGAGATTTTGTGCCTGTGTGCCACTGAGAAAGCCTTTCTCTGGCCTTTGGCTCTGTCCCTAACCTTTCTTACGAACGTCCTGTGGATTCTGGAAAAGAGCTGGTGAGTAGGTGCAAACTTCTGAGGCTTATAGGCATTGTAAACTTTCATGCTAACCATGCTTCACTCTTATATAATCATTATAATTTCAGCAGTTTTTTCTTACCCATTTTTCATGGTTACTACCTCTTCTTTCCACATTCTGTGAAAAGAAAACTTCCTATGTTATATCACTGCTTACAGGGATTCGCCAACCTTGAAATTTGATTCATGTAGTTGGCTTGCAATCTCAACTCTCTGATGGGCTCAAGAATAGTTTTGATGATAGAGAGAATCCTGCTCTTTTTTCTTATTAGAGGAGCAACATTGTTCTTTTGTAGCTTTCCATGCCCCAGGCATAGTGAAATTTACCATGTTCTGTTCTTGAAATAAGTTTTCAGTATAAATTATATCTCATTTTGTATGCTGTGCTCTATAAAATTTTAGTTATATCATTATTTGACAAATTTCATCATGCCTTGAATAATTGATATGTATAAATAATATTCATAGGATAACTTTTTTTGAAATAACTTTAAACTTTATCATTTGTGCAAATGTGTGTTTTTAAATATGTTGTTTTCCTTCAAAGTGAAGAACATTCTCCCAAGAATTCCCATTCATTGTCAATTCAATAGTTATTGAGCAGTATGTGCCAGGGATTATGCTAGGAACTTTTATAGTATATGTATTTTATATAAACATCAGCTTCTGAATGAAATTTTGTTTTGGATGATATATTTTGACTGTTTGTGTTTGTTAGGAGAAAAGAAGCACATGAATGGCCAGAGATGCATTTAACTGTGAATAATGAGAAACTGCATTCTAGGATCCTATCATGTGTCTCTAAAAATCCTTTTTTTAATTCGAAAGAAGATCAGTTTATTTTGTAATGCTTCTTAAGAGTAAGGAGTGAATAATTTGAAAGCTGATAATTAATAAAGTTTGAACTACCTGGATTTTAATAACTTCTAGCAGAGCTGTTCCATTTATTAATGTGAGTACTTGATATCTGATTTTATTGTTATTTTTAATGAAAAAATGTTTTTTGCCCCACAAGTTCCTGTGTTAACTGTTATGACAGGTTACACAAATAATGACTCAGATTTTATCTTCAATAAGCCTGCTTTCTGGGAATGACTATAAAATAGATACATTAAAAATTTAAAAAAGGAAGTTTTATAACAATAGTACTGTTAAGTAGTTATATAGATTCAGAGAAAGCAAAGATAACTGGAAAGAAAAAAAGTTTTGTGGAGGTGGTGGCACTTGAGCTCCACTTGAAAGCTGGACAGGATTTGGAATATGTAAGAATGGGTGAGACAGGAGAGGTGCGAGATGTTTAAAAAGACGAAAGTGCTTGGCCTATTAGCAAGGCAAGCTGTAAGGCAATTTTAATAACCTAAGCTGGAAAACTGTGTTGTACTTAAATAATGGAGAATTTTGTATGTTAGGCTAAGTTTCTGGAATTAATATCATAGGCTATTGGAGACTTTGGAGCACAGAAATAATATAATCAGGGTTCAGTTTCAGGATGATTAACTTTGGTAGCAATGTGGACTGAAAGGAGGAGAGATTGGAAGTGTTGGGAACAGTCGTTGGCTGTATATACATCACAAGAAAGAGGTGAACAACGTTTGACTATCGTACGGAGAGTGAAGTGAGAGAAACACGTATAAAAATATTTTAGAGATAGAATCTGGCAATTAGTATTTGCTTAATACAAACTAAAAAAATAGTGTTCTGTCAGGTGTTGTGACTAATGCATAATGATCCAGAAGAATCAAGGAACTTATGATATGCTACATCACATATTTGTACATAAAGGTAATACAAAGCAGAATGTGATTAGAAACTTTAAAAGGTTACATAGAACTATAAGGATGCGAGTTGGAGAACACTCATATATCTCATCTTCCTTCAAACTCCCGTTGGAAAAATATATAAATTAAGAAAAATAATAAAGCCCAAATTACTAAAAAAAAGAAAGGAAGCCAGAAGACAGTAGAAATCTTGGAAAATAGAATTTGGAATACAGAACCAGTAGGGAAAACCATTCAGGAAACACAATAACCTGAAGCATTAGAGGTGTGAGCTATTATTTCCAAGGTTGCCCAAGAGGAAAACCTAGTGCTGTCAGCTTTACCATTTATGAGTGAGTCCTGTTAAGGAAATAGACGTACACAACTCTAAATGAAATATGTGCCATCTATCTATTCCCATTAACAGCCCTTGATGCATCAGTATGAACAAACTCTTGGGGAATATTCATAGCATAAATAAGAATATTCAAGTAATTCCTTGGAAGAGGTAGGAGAGAACTTAAAATCATCTGGGAGATTTGAGAATGTATTTCAGTAGTAAAACTAGAAAAGACTGCAATGAGAATGAAGCAGAAAATATAAAGAGGTCTTTGAAATTAAAAATTTGGTTACCAATATTAAAAATACAATTAATGAATAGATGCAATAATAGACTGATTAGGGCTAATGACCAAACTGGTAATCTGGAAGTTAAAACGAAGGAAATCTCTCATAACATAGGTGAAAATGCCAAAGAGCAGGAAAATATGAGAGAAGGGTAATACGCTAATGAGGATGTTCTACAGGGCCAACATCTTGCTTGTAAGTATTCCAAAATCAGGGAAAAAAGGCAATGTAGGGGTAAGCATGGTTTTTATAATTAAAGAAATGTCTCCCATTAATCCTAAAATTTTTAACCATAAAAATATTTCTTGAAAATATAGCCTGGAAACATGAAAAAAAAGTGAATGCAAGATTAACTTGGACTTCAGATTAGGAAACTGACTTCTGATTGTCACTTGGAAAAAGCAAAGAAAAATAAAACAACAGAATTAACTGATCAACAATGGAACAGGAAATAGCGGAGAGTTGTGGAGGGAAAGATGTGCAAGGCAAACAGAAGAAGGAGTTAAAGCAAACAGGGAGTTTAAGTTCTTGGAAGAATAGTGGAAAGTCAGGAGAAGGAGCTGGGGTTATAAAATAGAACCGTAGCTAACATCTCCATTGCTTCTTTTATGGTTTTCCCAAAGTGTTCCCAATTGGCTGATTCTGTGTTGTTACTAAAAAGTCTCACAACGAACCATGAAAATTAAACATATTTTATTTTTAAAATTATATGAGTATTTCATAAAGTTGTCTATGTGGTAAATTATAATCCTTGCCACCCACAGGTAGCCACTGCTATTTTTAGTGTCCTTTTAAAAAAATAAATTGTCTTTACTGATGCCATGTATCCTGCTTTTTACACAATCACATTTTTAATTGTTATGAACCCCCTCAACAAACTTAATATGTAATGTCTGTATGATATTCCATTTCACATATACTACATAATTGGGATAGCTGACTTCTAACTTAAACAACGATTAGTTGGATCAGAAAATGATGAATGTTCATTATCAGAAAAAATCGAGTTGAAAAATTTGTTGTTAACTACTGAGATATTAAAACCATAATTTGCGAATTTTAGGAAAAGTTGAGTGTCTCTGTGTGAGTGATCACTTACAGATAAGAACATTATGTGTTAACCCTGTAAAACTTAGAAAATGATCTTGATAGTTTTAAAAACATTTGACTGCTTTAGGTTAGGTTGCACCAACTCAGTCTCACTATTTTTCTGATCCAAGGTTACGTGCTAGTAGACTTGTCTTTCTGATTTTTGTATCCTCTGCTTTTGGCAGTAAAGCAATTTGATAGAGAAACGTTGGCTTGATTTTGCCCTAACCAACTTCAAATCCCAATTCCCTAATTACCTGAAAACCCATAGTAATTCATTTAACAGGTATTACATTGTTTCCAGTTTCAGAATATAAATAAAATTACTCTGAATATTTGTGTGTGTAAGTCCTTATTAAGCTATTAGTTTACGTCACAAGAAAATATTCATAAAAAAAGGTTTTGTCAAAGTTGTTATACATTTGCTGATCATTTTCTTTAAAAATATATATACCAGATTTTCTTCTAGGGTTTTTATAATTTTGTGTTTTACATTTAAGTAAATCTTGATTTAATTTTTGTATAAGGTGTCAGGAAGGGGTCCAGTTTCAATTTTCTGCATATGGCTGCCTGGTTCTCCCAGCACCACTTATTAAATAGGGAATCCTTTCCCCATTACTTGTTTTTTGTCAGGTTTGTCGAAGATCAGATGGTTGTAGATGTGTGGTCTTATTTTTGAGATCTCTCTTCTGTTCCATTAGTCTGTGTGACTGTTTTTGTATCTGTACCATGCTGCTTTAGTTACTGTAGCCTTGTAGCATAGTTTGAAGTTAGGTAACATGATGCCTCCAGCTTTGTTCTTTTTGCTTAGAATTGTCTTGGCTATACGAGCTCTTTTTTGGTTCCATATAAATTTTAAAGTAGTTTTTTATAATTCTGTGAAGAATATTAATAGTAGTTTAACGGGAATAGCCCAGGAATACCATTTGACCCAGCAATCTCATTACTGGGCATATAGTCAAAGGAACACACATCATTCTATTATAAAGATACATGCATATGTACGTTTATTACAGCAATATTCACAAAAGCAAAGACATGGAATCAACCCAGATGCCCATCAATGATAGAAAGGATAAAGCAAATGTGGTACATATACACCATGGAATACTATGCAGCCATAAGAAGGAACAAGATTGTGTCCTTTGCAGGGACATGGAGGGAGTGAGAAGCCATTACACGGTAACATAAAATCAAACACTGCATGTTCGCATTTATCAGTGGGAGCTGAACAATGAGAACACATGGACACAGGGAGGGGAACAACACACACACGGGGGCCTGTCCAGATGGGGAGTGCAGGGGAGGGAGAGCATCAGGATAAATAGCTAATGCATGTGGGGCTTAATACCTAGGTGATAGGTTGATAGGTGCAGCAAACCACCATGGCACATGTTTACCTGTGTAACAAATCTGCATGTCCTGCACATGTATCCCAGAACTTAAAATAATAGAAAAAAAAATATATATATATATACATATATACCAGCAGTGTTTTAGGGTTAATTTGATTTCAAATGCATCACATTTTAAATATCTTTGTTAATTTAATTGGAGAATTTGTTATTGCCTTAATTTTCATTTCTTTGACTACAAATTCATGTGAATTTTTTCATATAATGGATTTTCTTTATTAATGAATAGTACATTTGGATTCATTTTTCTAGTAATCAATTTGTATCCTGATTTTTTTCTTCAGAAACTCATATAAGCTTTTCATTCATCAAGGGTATTAAACACAGTTAACACATCTGCTGCAAACTTTCATATTTGTTCTTCATTTAACTGTTATTCTTTTTAAATATAAATAGACTTTTCAATGTTGTCAAATCTAGTGGTAATTTCATGTAATTTGATATTATTTTTAAAATTAGAAAGTTTTATTCTCTTTTATAGCTTACATGAATATGTATTTTTTTCTAAAAATTTGAACTTTATTTATTTGTTTTCCCATAATTTACCAGCCACCTGGCATTTATTTTGATTAGGTATAAATTGAAGCTCTAAAATGCATTTTTCCAAGTAACTAACAAATAGCTCTAGGACCACATTTAAATACTTTTATATGAATTTGTTTCAAATTATTATTAGTAATGATAATGTCTACAAATAGATACTTATATTTAAAAAATTAAAAAGAATTAATGTTGGAAATGAAGTCTTCCACCTATTCATGTTCTCCAATTTTTCACCTTTCTTTTGCACCACAACCATTCTTACCATTTTTATTTGCATGTTTTTATTTAATTGTATGCAAATTTATTCAGTACATATATGTTATTTGAAAATTGAAGTTGATAGCATACTACACAAGCTGTTATGGACCTCAATTTGTTTTCCACTTAAAAATGTACATCTTGGTAATAATTCCATATCCATTTCATCTGAACTGTCTAATTTATTATAATAGCTTCATAATATCCCAACTTACTTATCCAGTCCTTTATTGACAAACATATATTCTATTTAGATTCCTTTATCATTTCAAATAAGTCTTTAATTATAAACCTAAATATATCACTTTGTTCACATGCAATTATAGCTGAAGGAATACTTTTTAAAAGTTGAAATGCTGAGTAAAATGTTGTATGGATTGTAATTTTGACTGATATTTTCAAATTGCCCTCTGTAAGGGAATACTGGTTTACTTTCCCCTGTTACTGTTTATTCCCTGAGTAACAACATTTTTGATCTTCATCTGTCTAAACAAAATAAATATCTTGTTTTATTTTGCATTTATTTTACTATGAATGAGATTTTAACATCTTTACATATGTTTAAAACCACTTTTATTTTTTGTGGGAAGTTTTTTTCTATATTTTTCAAGAATTACCCTTTTCTTCTTTTAATTTTACTTAAGCTAAGTTTTGTCAAGCATATTTTTTGTTTATTATTGTAGCTTATTATATCATTTTTTTTCTTTACTCGTTTCTGGTTTCATTGTTATACATTAGAATGTCATTTTCAATCAATAATAGAATTTTTCCAGTTTTTTGTTATATATAATTAACTTTTTAATTAAGATTTAAACTTTGATCATATGGATATATATTTTGTGTATAAGGTATGATAGATTATAACTTAATTTTTTTTACACATTTAACCAAGCACTCCTTAATGATCAAGTTATCTGTTTTCCACTTATATGGGATGCCAGCTTCATTTAACATATAGTAAATTGTGTCTTATAATGAACTATATTGTTTTCCATTGTTCTGTCTACTTAAGCATCAACACTACATTATTAGATAAGTATAGCTTCATAATAGATTTAATATGTGATAGAATTTACTGATTTGTCCTTCATCAAATGTTCAATTCTCATATAAAACAGGGTCTGTTTACAGGCTTTAATTTTATACATAGATTTGTCTCTTTTTGTGCAAGTTTTATCCTGATTTAATTTTAGTAGCTTCAGATTTTTTTTGCAAAATTTTCTTAGTGAAATTTCCCATTGTTATTACTGTTTAGTAATTTTTTCTTATTTCCTACTGCTTATATTACTAAATGCACTCAAATGTTAGCTTTTCTAATTGAAGACAATTTTAATAAAATCTTAGTAGTAATTTGGCTAATAACAAGGAATTTATCTGAGAAAATTTGGCATCTTTTTATATTTGTACTATCTTATAAGAGAAATATGTCCAGACCGTGAGGCTAAAACTTTGCCAAATCAATCTGAATATATCAGGAAACGCTTGCAAGCCCTTGGTGCCATAGAGATCCAAGGAAATAGAGGTTGTGAGTGCCTATAACAGCCACTCCTGAGGCTCCTTCTTGACGATTGACTTTGATTTCCCAAATGAATTCTTCTATATCCTGCAAGAACACATTCAACATTCAATATTTTTCCTATATGTGATTTATAAAAGTAAGACAGGTTTTTTTGAATTTTTTGGATTGCTGTTTGCTTCTTTTATTTGCTAAAAAATTACAATTTGGTTTTTGATCTATTCTCAATGATTATTTCTCACCTAGTGGAAGAAAATAGAGCCAAGCAATTAATAACAGGAGAAACCTCAGAGCCTGCTCTATCATAATTCTCTTTTTATTAGTCTTCATAGGTCTTGAAGGAAATTATTAAGGGGAAGCAAATATCAGTATCTTTTTCTATATACAAACCACCTCAAATCTTAGTGACTCAAACCAACAACCATATATTTAGCTCACAATTTTGTAGCATGGCTATTATTGTCTGGGTTCCGCTGTGCAGTTCTTCTGCTGACCTTACTAGATTCACTCATGTAACTGTAGTCAGCTGCCAGTCAAATAGGCAATTCTTCTTCTGGGCTTGGCAGACTGTGGATTAGGGTAACAGTGGGTCACATGTGCCTTATCATTCTGCAGGCTAGCCTGAGCTTTTTTCATATGATGCCAGTAGCAGAAGTCCCTAGAACATCAAGAGAAGACGCTGCTAGGTTTCTTAAAGCCTTGGTTTGTATTTTCCTAGTGCCAATTTCAGTGCATTCTGTGGATCAAAACAAATGACATGGCCTGTCCAGATTCAAGAAACAAGGATACAGACTTCATCCCTTTATGGCAGTGGCTACAAGTATTGTGGCTACATTTGCAAACTGCCACAAGCAAACACAGGCCTAACCCATAGGCAAGTAAACTGAGCATAGGTCCTAGAAGATTAAAGGGTCTATGCTTTCTGTCTACTAGCAATGACATTATATCCTATGGGTGTATAATTTCACCCAATGACTCTGCCTGAGGAAAGCATTTTGTAGATCTATGGTTGAGCCAAAATTCTGCATTTCTAACAAACTTTGAGGTGATGGTGATGCTGTTGGTCTGCAGAGCACACTTTCTGTAGCAAGCCACTGGAGTATTGCTACTCAAGGTCTGGTTGGTAGACGGGCAGCGTCAGTATTACTTGTAGGAAATGCAGCTTCTTGATTCTCTTCTCTAACCTAATGTCTCAAAATTTTTGAGAAAGGCTCCCAAATCTGTATTTTAACAAACTTTCCTTAGGATTTTGATGTACACTGAGGTTTGGTAAGCGCTGCACTAGAGAGTATTGGGTAGAAAATGAAGGAGTGTGATTGAGGAGGAAGAGAATCCTAAGAAATCTAAATCGCTGGACCTATGTAGTTCATGCAAGATTTGTTCTACCAAACATGAATTCAGACCTTTTGAAGAACACATATAACTACAAAGAATATTTCCAAACACCAAAAGGTAGACATAAATGTAATGCTTGCCTGGGAAGAAAAGGATGAGTAATGATGGTTGGCCAATACCTGGAAAATAATTACCTGTTTCTTTATATTTTGGCAGCAGTCTAGAATTGACCATCCCTGCATTATATTTTTTATTAATGTCCTCATAGTGAACATTGAAGGAAAGCCTCTTTTGTGTATGACTGTGAGTGTAATCAATCAAAGCTCAGGCATGTTTTATTACTGTCAGCTATGATTTGTTCTTTTCATTTTCTTGTCATAGAATTCTGATAAATTCATTCAAAGTGGCCCAGAGCAGGTCAAATAATACAGCAGTGCCATCATAGCTTAAATATTGTCCAATATGCCAGTCTCCAGCACAATGTCTGGCACATAGAAGATATTCATAGTGAACTTGAGAAATTATATAAAATTTATAGAAATCTATGATATGCACAATTGAAATTTAATCCAAAAATTAAACTATTTGTTGAGGAGTTTAAGTATTCAGTTGAAACCAAGTTGCTTCATTGTAGTGTAAGTGTGAAGCAGTATGATGGAAAAACAAGGAAATATTTCAATTATAGTCCAGATTTTTCCTTATACTTTGATATTTGTCTATGCATAGCTCTTCAGCTGATTAAGATATGACATCTTCAAACTATTTAAAATTCTTTTTTTAATTAAACCACTGGGCCACATGAAATATACACACTCTATTTGTAGTTATCTGTAGTTCTTTTCAGAGTTTACAAAAATAATGGTCTTTGATTTATCTCATGTAATTTGTATCCTATTCACCAACATTGATTTGATATTCAAATCTTGGTAAACTATTGAAGACTCTACTCACACTTAAAACAACAGTGAAGAACACCGGATATAATTTCTTATTGGCTGTGTGATCTTAGGCAACTCAGTTACCCTCTCTAAGCTTCTTGATATTGCCTGTTATTTGATGAAGATGCCTGCAAGATATTCATGACTAATCTGAATACCATACAAAAATTGTCCTTTTTATGAGTAATCGATTTGTTTTTATCCCATGGTTATGGTGAGTAACCAATTTAGAGAGCTAGGTAGAGAGAGAGAGAAAGAGAGAGAGAGAGAGAGAGAGAGAGACAGAAAATGTAGCTATGTTACCAACCTAATAACAGCATTGACTCTCATTTTTCTCATCTTTAAATGTAGAAGATTTATTTAAATATAAGCTCCTTTCTGATAAATTAACAAGCTGTTGTTTCCAAATTTTATAATTTGATGCAAATTTAGAAAGTCGAGTGTGCAGGATTTTTCTCTCTGTATCTGTGTTGGCTATTATTTGGCTAATTCAAAATATCCAGGGATTAGTTTTTTAGTTATTATATTAGGCATTGTCTAGCCATTTCCTCAACTGCTCTCCATTTTCTTTCATGCCCTTGGAATGAAAAGGCTAAGTGTGCATATCATCAACAATTGTTTTCTGAAGTGTTCAGCCAATGCTGATGCTTATTCAAAATTATATCTTTGTGACTTTGTCTCAACTATTTTGTATGCTTCTTACATTCTATTTTTGAAATGACTGAGAGACTAAAGGAAGTATTTATGAAGTAATGATATTTTAAATTTCCTAAATAGTTTCAGTATTTTGTTGCTTATTTGTTGCTTATAATTTTTAAAATTTGGTTTTTCAAAAGAGATAAGGAGAAACACTAATAATTTTTCTCCCCAGAAATAATACATAATATCCACCCCCTCTGGAGTATCTTTCTAATCTTATTGACTTCAGTCATATTAACTTTCAGTCTCCACAAACCAAAAAATTCTAATAGAAAATCTTTACAAGTTTTCATATTAGTACATGGTAGAATATAAGGACGACTAGAAAAATAGCAGATTAAAGAATCCATTCTATAAAAATTATAAAAATAAACCAAACAGGGCATCTTAATTCTAGGAACCTTATTTCCATACAATAGATCTGGAATATATATATTTGTAACTCACATGCATTTATCTCAAAAAATTTTCTGAAGTATTCATTGGTTTTTCTTTTTTATTAAAAAGCCAGGATAGAAAAAAGTTGAGAAAATCCACATCTAATAGTAAGAGATAACTAGATCTGATTTCCTTGGAGTGCCATGTTTCTTCTACATTAAAGCATAGTATCAGTAAGACCAAATCTTTTTCCATCATCAAATGAAGGGAAAGGACTGCCAAATCTTAATTCTGAAATTCCTACCTTTTTCTTTTTGGTCAGGTTTTCTCTCATTAAAAGCTGCTGTTGGTGGCCTTTTAGGTACATTTTGCTAGAAGGAAAATATTGCAAGCGAAGGTGGAGAGAAAGGAATAGAAGTTAGGACCAGACATTTTGCCATGGATCATCCTGCATATTATACATGCCCGAGTCTGCTCTAAACAAGATACTGAAAATTAGCAAGGGGTAATTCACAAGAAAGTGAAAATGAGCACGGGGTAAATTTTACATCTTCACTTTGGTAACTCACAACTTATAATGCTTACAAATTCAACATGACATAAACTTGAGGAGTTAGATGTATGACTTCTGGGTATATTTTCTTTAAGTAGGGTTCAGTGCTGATAACATACTATTATTGCAAAAATCATTACTTTAAAATAAAATTTATGAATATATCTGGTTCCATGCATTGTCCACTGTTGACACTTTTTAGAAGAACTCATATAGAGGGATTCCCATTCACCGTATCTTAATTAATGTAAGCTGTCGAAGTTTCAGCTTCTGCTAGATTCTATTTGATTTAAAAAAAAATACTAAATAAATTATAAATTCAGTTTTCTATCTCATCAGAAAGAGGAATGTTTATTGTAGCTCTATATTTCTTGAGTTGTCTCAGAAATGCTTGCCATAGGGTCAGTGCTCAATTCATTCTTCTGTAGCACTGGATACACAGAAATTCATGATTTCATGCAGTAAAGGAGACTCCTCAGATTTCTCCTGCTGTTTTAGCTTTGGGTGGGAGGTAATGCAAAGCTGGACACTCACTACAATAAAGGCACTCCTGTGTTCAGAAAGAAAGTATATTATTCCAAATAGCATATTTCAAAGAGAGCCTTTTATTTAGTTTCCTTTGTGTCCTCTGTGCTGACACCATTCTATTAGCAGTTGCAGAGTAGGCAATGGCATGGGAGGTCCCACATGGTGCACGCATCACAGTGTGGATGTTCTACATGGCTGTTTTCTTAGAACATTAAGCTACAGTCCTGGAATTAATTTTCTCTGAAAATTTTTTCTTTATTAGCCTTAAATTCTTAGTGATTTTTTAAACTTCTTCCAGTTATGCATGTTATCAATTTGATTTATTTTAGAACTTTGTTGTTTTAGATTAACATTTGTATTAACTTTTTTCATTTAAAATTGCAGTACGTTTAACTTTGCTTGCTGGCCTTTGAAATCATGGTATCTTGAGAGGGGCAGATAACTCTCTAGATCCTGAAGTAGTGATAATACCACCTATGTCCACTTTTTATCTTTTGCAGAGGTAGCCAGACTCTAGAATATTGAGGCAGGAATGGACTAGGTTCATATAACTACAGCAGCTTCAGGTGGATTTAGGGGATTACAGGATCATAGTTTAAATATGAGGACAAGCCTTCTTAGAATATAACATCACTGCCTGGAATGATACATTTGTTAGAAATAGATGGCATTTTCAAAAGAGTGATTGAAGAGAGTTTAATAAATAAATCATTTACGTGTGTGGACAAAATTAATGGAAACTAACATGGATGGTGAAACACCCTGGGACTAATAACCCAGGAAAATACTATCACCCTTGAGCTTGAAGGAAGAGAGAAAGGAGTCCTTATCAGAACCAAGGGAGGGGGCTGCTTGACAACAGCTGTGGTCTCTGATAAAGGAAATAGTCTCTACTGATGTCTCTCTTCCTGCTCTTTGATCTTCTATTGCCTTCCATCAACTAAACCTAACCAAAAGCTACAAAGCAAGGAAGATTGTAACAGCAAGAAGGTGAGGAAGTGTAGAGGGTGGTTCTGGTAGGACAGAGTATCCACCACAGAATACCTCTTTTGTCCTTCAGCATCCATTCTTGATGCTTTTTCTGAATGACAATTCTGTGTCCCTTACACAGGAAACAGAAATTCTAATCAGTGACTATATCATTACACAGTAATGTCAATTCAGTCATACTTCCCCCAGAAACATAACACATTAACCATCGCGAGTGTGCTTCATAACCCTTACTATCTATCAGCACTGTGACTGAGGATTTTATCATTTTGAGAGACACAACTCCCAGAATAGAACTTATTGGTGGTTCTGTTTTTATTCGATTGTTTCTATTGATCAGGGTTATGGGTAATGGAGAACTAAGGAGTGATCTAGTGAATTCTCAAGTTTTAGAGAGAATTCACTAGAACCCTCCTTGCCCTCATTATGAGGCAGCAAGCCAATTTCCACTTGGTAATTGAGATCAATCACCCATTCAGTAGAATGTTGTCTTTCTCTCCCTCCTGGTTTAATGAGGAGTACAAAATGGCCAGTTTCCAGCCTCAGCTTCCATTTAATACAAACATTAACTGTGCTCCCCTAATGGAACCGTGTCTCCCTTAAGCACAGGACCACCAAGTTCACCAAGTTCCATATTTCAGGGGCCAGAAGCATACATTTCTTAAGTGAATTATTTGGGGTAATAATAAGAAGGGGTCATCTCATCTCCACCTTTTAGGTTCTATATGGGTTAAACATTTAGACTTCATCTTAAAGAAGTATAAACCTAAGAAGCCTCACAGGATGGTTTGTTGGATGTATAACTAATGAACCCTTAAGCAACCATTCTACCTTTGTATTATTATTATTATTTATATAAATTTAAGGAGTTCAAATGCAATTTTTTTGCAGGCATATATTACGTAGCTGTGAAATCTTGGTTTTTAGTATATCCATCATCTGAATAATGTATATTGTAACCATCAAGTAATTTCTTGTCACCCTTTGTCCTTCCTCCCCCACATCCTTCTGAGCCTCCAAAGTTTATCACTCCACACTCCATGTCCATGTGTACACATTATTTAGCTCCAACTTATAAGTGAGAACATATGGTATTTGACTTCTGTTTCTGAGTTGTTTCGCATAAGATAACAGCCTCTAGTTTCATCCATGTTTCTGCTAAAGACATGATTTCATTCATTTTTAATGGGTGGATGGTGTATATATATGTGTGTATATATATACACACACATATGTATATATATGTGTGTGTATATATACACACATATGTATATATATGTGCGTATATATACATACACACATATGTATATATATACACACACATATATACATATGTGTGTATACATATATATATATATATATGCCTCATTTTCTTTATCCAATCATCTGTCAATTAACAATTAGGTTGATTCCATGTCTATGCTATTACGAATCTGACTAGGTGCGGTGACTTACGCCTGTAATCCCAGCACTCTGGGAGGCCAAGGTGGGAGGATCACTTGAGCCTAGAGGTTTGAGACCAGCCTGGGAAACATAGTAAGACCCAACCTCTACAAAAATAAAAATAATTAACTGGGCATGGTCGCCTGTGCTTGTAGTCCCAGCTACATGGAGGCTGAGGCAGGAGGATCGTATGAGCCCAAAAGTTGAAGCCGCAGTAAGCCATGATAGTGCCATTGCACTCCAGTCTGGGCAACACAGGGAGATCCTGTCAAAAGAAAGAGAGAAAAGGAGACAGAAAAAAAGAGAGAGAGAGAGAGAAAGAAAAAGAAAGAAAGAAAGAAGAAAAAAAGAAAGAAAAAGAAAGAAGAAAAAAGAAAGAAAGAAAAAGAAAGAGGGAGAGAAAGAAAGAGAGAAAGAGAGAAAGAAACATATGAGTGCAGCTGTCTGTTTGATATAACTATCTATTTTCTTTTGGGTAGATATAGATATCTTAATGGGGTAAAAACCTCAGAAGACTCCAAGGATGGTTTCTCACATGTACAATTAATGAGCCTTCAAATGACTATTCCACTATTATTTTAAGCCAGTTGTTTATTATTGTTAAGGCACATGGTAATATGAGTGTCCGCCAATTGTCACAACTTTTTCAATGTAAGTTGCTTTCCCAGAGGTGACATTGTAAGGAATGCCACAGCGAAAGAGAAGACATTGTCTAACTCTGCAGATGATGAAGCTGTCCAAGAGAAATAGCCACGCACACATTGCAGAGCATCAACAACCGAGCAGGAGAATAAATACCATGACTTATCTTTTCTCCCACCTTTGCATCTCCTTCTGGCAATACTCAACCAGAAACCAGAAGGCAAAGGAGCCTGTTTGATGCAGTCTATAAAGTCAGTGTCCAGCTTATACGTACAGAGTTGGGTAAAGAAGAGTGAAGAATGAAGCTGAGACGGTAAATAGAAAACTTTCTAAAACCTAAAAGTAGTTCATGAAGTAACCAGAGTCAAATCTAGATGTAGCCACAATGCTGAAAGCCTTTTTAAAACTCTCAAACTCAATACACCACACTGAGTTATTATGGAAGATATTTTTATGTCAGAGAGCTTGACTTCAAATATTTTCTTTCCCATTCATTAGTTGAGTAACCATAGAATAGTTCTTAAACATTCTGATGTTCAATCTTAAAATATTTTCAAAGTGGGTACTATCTACACTCTGAATCAGTGTTCACTGTATAGGGTTGTTTCTCCCATAGCCAGGGTTTATGAGTCCAGGAATCAATGGGTGAAAATGGCAGTGGCACCACTCACCTTTAGGGATACCCTAGCAAGATTTTTGCATCTTATTTCTGAGACTTTATGCTCTGTCGGCCTGAAGGACTTAGTTTCAAAGTGAAGACTGTTTCCACCAGGAGACACAACAATGATTCCTTAAACTGGAAGTTAAGATTGCTACCTGGCCACTTTGGGTTCCTCATGCCTCTGAATCAACAGGCAAAGAAGGGAATTACTGTACTGGCTGATGTAATTGATCCTGCTTATCCAGGGAGAATTGACCGCTACTACACAATGTGAGAAAGAATGAGTATGTAGAATACAGAAGATCTCTTAGCACTTCTCTTAATAGTATCATTCCCTATGATTAAATCTAGTGAAAACTACAACAACGAAATTCAGGCAGAGTTATTAATGGTGAAAAGCACCAGAAATAAATGTTTAGTTTACCAGTTTACCCCACCAGGCAAAGAACCATGACTAGTAGAGGTGCTGGCTGAGGACAAAGGGGAAATGAAATTGACAGTAGAAAGTAATTATAAATAACACTACAACCATATGACCAATTGCAGAAATGGAGACTATAATTTTTATGAGTATTTTGTTTTGTTATAAATATGTATATGTGTGTTGTTAAGCAAACATATTTGTTTTCTTTCTTCTCTTATCCCCTTATCACATAACATAAGATACATTAACTTTACATCCTAGTTTTTAGGTATTTTTAAGTTTACACCGTAGTATTTAAATTACAGGGTATCAAGGGAAGAATGAATGACGCCGAAGGACTTTGTATCCTCTTCTGAGGGTTAGTTTGTTAGCTTTTTGTTTTTTTAGACAGTGTCTCGCTCTGTTGCTCAGGCTGGAGTGCAGTGGCACGATCATGGCTCACTGCAGCCTCAATCTCCTGGGCTCAGGTGATTCTCCCCCTGCCTCCCAAGTAGCTGGGACTACAGGCATGTACTACCATGCCCAGCTATTTTTTTGTGTGTTTTTTTGGTAGAGATGGGGTTTTGCCTTGTTATCCAGTCTGGTCTCGAACACCTGGGCTCAAGCAATCCACTTGCCTCAGCCTCTCAAAGTACTGGTATTATAGGCGTGAGCCACTGTGCCCTGCCTAGCATGTTTTCATTTGTACACAGGACAGTTCTATCATGTTAATTGAAAGTATGACTTCACTATTGTCTTTATTTAGAGATTAAGTATGGCTTAAGTACATGTGTATGGGTGCCAAGCTAACAAGGGGTAAGCTGTGATGGTTAAATTTTATGTGTCAACTTGGCTAGGCTATGTTGCTCAGTGTTTTGGTCAAACAGTAGTTTAGATGTTGCTGTGAAGGTATTTTGTAAATGTGATTAACATATGTAATCAGTGATTTTAACTGAAGAGATTACCTTTGATAATGTGGGTGAACATCATTCAATGAATCAAAAGTGTTAAGAAAAAACTTGGTTTCCAAGGAGGACTTTACTTCCAAGAAGAAAGTCTGACTCATGGCTACAACATAGAAAGGCTGCCTGTGTCTCCAACCTACTGGTCTGCCCTAAAGATTTTAAATTTATGACTGTAACATCAGCTCCTGTGTGAGTTGCTAGCCTGCCAGCTGCTCTGTAGATTTCAAACTCGAGACTACAACATTATTCTCGCCTGAGTTTACAGCCTGTTGTCCTGCCTATGGATTTGGGAGTTGTCAACTCCCACAATCACATGAGCCAGTTCCGTAAAATCTACATCTATCTATCTATCATCTGTCTATCTATCTATCTATCATCTGTCTATGTATGTATGTATGTATGTATGTATGTATGTATGTATCTATCTATCTATCTATCTATCTATCTATCTATCATCTATCAGTTATCCGTCTTATCATCCTATTTGTTGTGATTCTCTGGAGAACTCTGATACATGTACTAAAAGTTCCTTTATCCTAGAGATGTTGTGCACATTAAATGAAAATAACATATGTAAGTGTGATGCAAATTGTGTATTTTAGTGCACACAACAAATAATTTAACTCAAATTGGCATACGCAATAAATGTATGTTTATGTTGTAGATTATCATTTTAAAAGATGGGTCTGCCAATACATACTCCACAATTGGTGTGCTGCACCCATTAACTCGTCATTTAACATTAGGTGTATCTCACAATGCCCTTCTTGTAATGTGATATTGACCACTTCCATGGAAATATGGAAGTTTATATTTCCTTTCCCTAAAAAGTGGATACACTTCTCCAAGTAAGAGATGCAACAGAATGAAGCAGAGGAAATCTTACTTGAATTTTGATTAGGTCATAATAGGCAACATAGCTTTCTCTCTCTCTCTCTCTCTCTCTCTCTCTCTCTTTCCCTCCCCCCTCTTTCTCTCCCTCTCTCCCTTGCCTCCCTCCTCTCTCTCTGCATGCTTTCTTTTGGAACCTAGCTACCATGGTGAGACAAAGCCTATTCCACATGGAGAAGCCATGTGTAGGTGTTTCAGCCAGTGATCCCAGCTAGTTCCCCAACTGTCAGCCAGCATCATTGTCCAAATGCACATGTGAATAAACTTCAAATGACTCCAGCTCACAGATATCAAGCTTTGAGTGTTTCAGCTGAGGCCCTCTAATTATGAATCAGATAAGTTATCCCATGGTGTGCAGTCTGAATTTGGACTTATTGAAAACATAAGAGATAATAAATGCTTATTATTATTTTAATAAGTTTTAGGACAATTTGTTATTCAGCAATACATAATGAATACAATTTGCTTTACTGAAAAAAATCAAAAGGTAATATCAAAGATTGGCTATATTTCTCAGCAATTATTTTTCTAAATTCTGGCATCCTTTGTGTCTTGGCTTTATTCACTCATAGAAGAAAATAGCTACATTTGTTCCACTGTTTCACATCTGTATAATATATAGTTCAGAGCAAAGAGGTCACTTTTGTTCAAACATTCCCAGGAGAGAGCCTGACATTAAATATCATCTTGAATCCCATGGACACCCCTCAAATAATCTTGGTATTCAGGAATTTGTAATGTAATTATTGTCATATCTTGATATATTTAGCTCCTCCTCAGAATTGCAAAAATTTTCAAACCTATATCAAGAATTCTCAGGAAAAAAAGAATGGATACTGCGGAAGCTACTACGGATTTGCACCATAAGCATTTGGCATAATATTTCATATATGGAGTTTCTTTTACATGATGGTGATTTTTATTACTTTCTTCTTGAGTTTCTCAAGTATTGGGTCAAGTATTTTCTTATGTATTACCTTGGTATTCATCAGTTACCAAATCTTTTTATTGCTATCTCATTCAAAAGATAAAAACAATGCCATTATCCTCCAATCTTTGCACCTTTAATTTTAAGGCTATTTTTATAAAGCCTAGTAAATGTGCCTATCTCTAACTGAATTAGTTACAACATTCATAGGCTATGTTTAAAATTAAGCCATTCTATACATTCTTTCTGGGAATTGTCTTCAGAATACTTAGCAATGTTGTGTGGCAGCATATGTTTAATGTTGTAAAAGCAGAATTATTTTAGCAAAGATCTGGAACAGTTCTTTAAATTTACAAAAGGTACACCTTACATTGGTCCTAGAATAGCATCTAATAAGTTTAGAAGGAAGATAAGTTGGGGTAAATAACATAAATGCTGTAAGATATGTGGAGTTAGTAGTAAGACTATTTCACAAATTGTGTTCTGAAGAACTTTAGTTTCATGGGAAAAATATTTAGAGGTTAAATATGTTTGGAAATTGCAATGCACTGTATTCCACTTCTAGAAATTTAGAATCCAGATTAACATATTAAAGGCTTCAGAAGTTCTATAGTAAAGGAATTGTTTAATTTTACTAGCCTAGCTTTTCCCAAACAGGTTTGGGAAGAAAAAATGGATCACTTCTGTTTAAGAGATAGTCATCATTAAAGATGGAAATAACATTGTGATGTGTACTAGGGAGTCATATGATAAAATATGATTTATTACTAAAAAAATGAGCCTCAAAGCAAGAAGTTGGTAGTTGAAACCTTAGAGTAGTGAAAGAGGTGAAGGAATGTAGGCAATGTGAATGTCAACTTAAAATAGCAATCTCTAGTTTCAGCTAAGAAGGATTAAACCCACTCCACCCTATTTCTTCCACTGAAAACAACTAAAATTCCTGGACAGATTACACAAGGCAACTATCTGATGACTCTGAAAAGTAAATAATACCAGACAGATTTACTAGAGAAATCAAAATCTGAAAAATGAGCAATACAGTGGTAAGTTTCCTGGATTTGTTTTGTTTTCTTTTGTTGAGACACAAGTTTTGCCATGTTACTCAGGCTAGTTTGGAACACCTCACCTCAAGTGATCCTCCCCCTGCAGCTTCACAAAGCACTGGGATTATAGACATGAGCCATCACCATGTTTCCTGGTTTGTTTTGTTTTTCTTTCCCATATCTCTGGGTTTAGATTTTAGGTGCCCTAAACCATGGAATTTCACTTTGTGCACTGACAAAGAAAGCTCCAAGAAAAATCCTCTTTCATAGCAGAGGACTGGGAAATGGGCTTCTCTGAGATAGAAAATGTACATGTAGGAAAAATTACCATAATTCTTCTTTCCCTTTTTACTCCTCTAGCTCTGACTGGAGGCAAGCCCCATTTATGAAGGTGCATTCCTGTGTTGGCAGGGTGACAGCAGCAGTTGCATAGGTGCTTAAAATTCTGAGAGAAAATTCTCTCTCACCAGATGAATTTGGAAAAGAAATATACATGTTCTGAAGAGTGTCAAGGGAATACCATTATTTTTATTCTCTTTTTTACTCACTACTTTGTCCAGAGGATGATTCAGACATAAGAAGTGTGGACAACATAATGAGTCTGTAGCCAGGGTCTAGGAAAAGAGCCCCTGGAAACCAGAGAGTGTGAGGTAAACTATAGAGAAGAGATAACTGAATATTTTAAATTTATGTATGAAGACTTAGGCTAATCCTTGGGCTGCACTGTGCAACTGAAACAAAGAACCATAGAAATGCTTAGATAATTAAATTATGGTGTACACCACTGCCCAGGTCCCAGGCTTGTCCCTAGGTGATACACGTTGGAAGTGGGCTTGCAAAGCAGCTTACAAAAGCTAAGCTGATATTGGAACCACAACTCACAGAAGGCAGTGATTTGGGAATTATAACCTGAATCTAACTAGTTTGATTGCATGCTAACACAAAAAACAAACTAACAATATTCTCTAGAGGCTTTTTATAGTACTTAGAGTCCCACTATATGTAAAATGTTCCAGAATTATTTGACATACAAAGAACCAGAAAAGCCTTAATTCTCTTAAAAGATGATTATCATATGCCAACCCCAAGATGGCCCTAAGTTTGGAATTAGTCACACCATTTTAGTCCATGAAGTAAGACAAACCCTCTTGAAATGAATGGAAAGGTGAACGTTCTCAGCAAAGAGATAAGCACTACAAATAATCATATGACAATTTTAGACTTAAGAAGATGCAAAAAGAAAAGAAATGTTTATTAGAGGCTCTCAGTGTATATGAGAGAGTGTATATTTTGAATTTGAATATAGGTCAATACAAATTATTCAAATTGTATAGGAAAGAAAAAAATAGCATAGGAATAAACTGAGTCTTGAAGACTTGTGGAACAATATTAAAAGGTCTAACATTGATGTCATTGGAGATTGAGGAGAGAGGAAAGAGCCCGGTGCAAAAAATAAAAGAAATACTATTTTAAAACATCTCACATTAAATAAAGGACATAAAAAATTTACAGAATCAAGAGGCTCAATGAACCCCAGCAATATAAGCAAAAAATAAAATCCTATATACATAAAAATCAACTGATGAAAACAAAAGATAAATAAAAAATTAGTAGTCATTGAGACCAGAAGAGAGTGAAACAATATTTTTAACATGATAAATACAAATAATTGTCAACCCAGAATTCCATAACCAGTAAAAACATCTGTTAAGAATGAAGGTGAAATAAAGACTTTATTAAATGAAAGAAAACTAAGGTAATTCATTGGCAGCAGACCTTCTCTAAAGAAAAAAAGCTAAATATCTTTTGGCTGAAGAAAAATAATAAAAACATAAAAATTAAAGAATGAAGGAAGAGCAGTAGAAATAATACATGTATGAGTAAATATAATCCCTATTTCTATTCTCTTTAGTTTCTTAAACTATTTATAATGCTTGAGAGCAAAAACATCATATTGTATAATGGAGTTTACAATTGTGTGTGTGTGTGTGTGTGCCTGCTCATTTGCGTATGTGTGTATATACACATACATAGACACACACACACACACATATATATGTGATTCATATACATTAGTTTTCTATTGTTGTCATAAAATTACTACAACTTTGGTAACTTAAATAATACAGATTTATTATCTTATAGTTCTGTACATCAGAAGTCTGACATGCGTCTCACTAGGCTAAAACCATGGTTTTGGTTGTATTCTTTCATGGAGCCTGTACAAAACTATTTTCTTGCTCACTCAGGGTGCTAACAGAATTCAGCTTATTGTGATTGTAAGACTGAAGTCCCTATTTCTCCTTTTGATGTCAGGTAAGAGCTGTTCCCGGCTTCTAGAGGATGTCTACATTCTTTGGATCATGGTCCCTTTCTGTCATCTTCAAAGTCAGCAACAGTGAGTCAGGTCCCTCTCACACTTCAAATCTTCCTCTTTCTTTTTTTTCATTACATCTCTTTGACAGCAGCCAGGAAAGGATCTCAACTTTTAAGGATGCATGTGATTAGACTGAGCCCATCCAAACAATCTGGGATAAGATTTAGGTCTTTGTTTTAGTCTATTTGGGTTGCTATAACAAAATGCCCCAGACTTGGTAATTACAAATAATACAAGTTTATTTCTCACATATCTGGAGGCTTGAAAGTTCAAGATCAAGGTGCTGGCAGATTTAGTGTGTGCCGAAGCATTGTTCTCAGGGTGCTTGGATCCAGGATGCTTCCAAGATGGCACCTCGTTGCTGCATCCTCCGGAGAAGAAGACAAACGATGTGTCCTCACACTGTGGAAGAACAGAAAAGCAAAAAGGGACAAATGCTGTGTCCTCACATGGAAAAAGAAACGGAAGTCCCAGGCAGCTTTCAAAGGTCTCCTTTATAAAGGAACTAATCCCATTGGTGAAGGCAGATCCCTCATGACCTAGTCACCTCCCAAAAGCCCCACCTCTTAATACTATCTTCTTGGGGTTGAAGTTCTAACATATAAATTTTGGAGGGACATTTACATTCAAACCACAGTAGTCCTTAACTTTAATCACACTCACAGAGATCCTTTTGCCTTGTAAGTTTACTTATTAATAGGTTTTGAGATTCAGGGTGTGAATATTTTTTTGTGTTGGGGAGGGGGCATTATACTGCCTACTACCTCATAGGAAATTACAGCATAAAGGGAGAGAGGTTAACAGGACCTATATGGTTATAAGATTTTTATCATTTACTTGAAATTGTAAATATTAATTTTAATAGACTAATAAGTTATACATATATATTGTAATTCCTAGAGCAATCACTAAGTTATATATAACACACACACACACTCACACACACATGAAAAATGGTTATAGGTAAGTTAAAATAAAATATGTATCAGATATCTACTGCTTCATAATAAATTATTCCAAAATTTAATGGTTTAAGACTGCACACATTTGTTATCTTACCATCAAGAAATCTATCCAGGTTGGAGTCTCATGTGAAGGCTCAACTGGGAAAGCTCACATAGTTCTTGTCAGAGTTCAGTTACTCATGGGCTGTTACTGTCAGGTTCTCAATTACTTACAGGCTATTAACCAAAGGCTGCCCTCAGTTCCTTCACACATTGGCCTCTGTACCATGGCAGCTTGCTTCATTAAAACATGCAAGTGGAGCAGGCCATAGTGAGAGATTTTCAGCAGGGTGAAAGCCAGAGTCATTTATAACCTAATTATGGAATTGATATGCATCCCTTTTGATGTGTTGTATTCATTAGAAATCAGTAACTAGGTCCAACTCACACTCAAGAAGAAGGGATTATACAAAGGTATTGTATTAGTTTTTCATTGTAGTTTAGCAAATAACAGCAAACACAGTGACTTGAAACAAAACAAATTAATTATCTAACAATTTTGCAGGTAAACATTCTGACATTCTGGGTTCTCTGCCTGGACAGTCTCAGAAGGCCAAAATTAAGGTGTAGTCCGGGTTAGTCTCTCATCTGCAGGCTGTATGGATGAATCCACTTTCAAGCTCATTCATGTCATTGGTCAAATTTACTTTCTTGTGATTTTTGGCCTAAAGTTCCCATTTCCTTGTTGGTAGTCAACTGGGGGCTTCTCTTAGGTCCTTAATACCAACTCACATTCCTTCTCATGTGCCATCAAATGAAGAGATACATCCTCTTTTTGGACTGAAAGACTTAGTATTGTTCAGATGTACTGTTTTCCCAGGTTGATCTATGTTAAAAGCAATTCCAATCAAAATGATGGCAAGAATTAGATGTTAAAAAGCTGATATAACATTTCTTTCTTTGGACAGGAGAAGGAACTAGTAGAGACAAAATTCTTTTAAAAAATCACAAAGTTTGGGGATCCACTCTATCTAATTTTAAGATTCACGCTAAATTTACAGCACTCAAAATAGTGTTGTATTGGCAGAAGAATGGACAAATTGATCAATGGAAGAGAATAGAGTACCAAAATAGATCTATACGAATAAGATTGACTGCTATTTGACAAAAATGGAAAGACAATGAAAAAAATGATGTTTTCAAAAAACTATGCAGTGCAACTAGAAATATACATGCAAAAATATAAATCTCAATACACATCTCATGACTTTATATAGAATTAATTTAAATGGGTGATATGCCTAAATGTAAAATTGTAAAACATGTAGATAAAACATAAGAGAACATTTTTATGACATTGGGTTAGTCAATCTGTTTTTAGATGCCCCAAAGGCAAGATACTTACAAGGAAAAAATGGATAAATTTCTGTTTATCAAAATTAAAACTTTTTCACTGCAAGAGACACTGACTGTTAAGAGATTGAGAAGATCAAGAAGACTGGAGAACATATTTTCAAATCACATAGTATCTGATAAAGGATTAGTATCTAAAATATATAAAAAGCATTTTAAAACTAAATAATAAGAAAAAAGAAACTAAAAATAGGCAAAAGATTTGGAGAGACACTTTACCAAAGAAGAATCAAAAAAGTTTGTGAAAGATATTCAAGAACAGTAGTCATTAGGGAAATGCAAATTAAAACCACAATGAGATACTACTATGCAAAGAGCCCCTGGACAGGGGCTGGTGCAAGCCCCGGTGTTCAAAGGCTGAAGAACCTGGAATCTGATGTCCAAAAGCAGGAGGAACAGAAGCAAGATTCCAGCACAGGAAGATGAAAAAGGAGCCAGAAGACTCAGCAAACAAACTTACTCCACCTTCTTTTGCCTGATTTGTTGTAGGCATACTCGTAGCAAATTGCATGGTATCCACCCACATTGAAGATGGACCTTCCTCTCTTTTCACCAACTCAAATGTCAGTCTCTTCTGGAAACACCCTCACAGACATACCCAGAAACAATACTTTTCCAGCCATTTAGGCATCCCTCAATACAATCAAGTTGACACCTAATATTAACCATCACAGATAACAAAAGCTTTGAATACACACATGTGCACATGTATATACACATACATCTTCAAATAATTTAAAATAGAAAAGGCCTGCCTTTTGTGTTATTAACATGAATGGTTTGTTTGTTTTTTAACAGAGCTGACATCATATCCATACAAAAGGAATGTACTCTAGGGGATTTGCACATCGAGGTATCACAAGATATTTTTAATATTTGAGATTCGAAGGGAGATTTAATATTTTACTTTTGAAATTTAAAATTTCATTTTCCCTAGTTATATTGGAAGGATTTCCTTTATAAATGTAGAGAGTTTACAAATGAAGGTAAGTAAATAAGCCCACAAGTGCATCATATAGTTGCATCTACAGTCTCTATTTCATTTCATTACTAAGAACCATTGTTCTAGTTTATATAATTCTTCTGTTTCTCAAAGTTTTAAAACTAAAATGATTCCTATTTGTATAATATTAGTCAGTTTTCACACTACTGTAAAAGAACTACCCGAGCCTGGGTAATTTATAAAGAAAAGAGGTTTAATTGACTCACAGTTCTGAATGGCTGGGGAGGCCTCAGGAAACAAAATCCTGGTGGAAGGTGGAAGGCACATCTTACATGGTAGCAGGTGAGAGACAGAGTGAATATGGAAAGGCGAAGAGCCCCTTATAAAACCATTAGATCTCATGAGAATTCACTCACTACCACAAGAACAGCATGGAGGAAACCGCCTCCATGATTCAATCACCTCCCACCAGGCCTCTCCCGAGACATGTAGGGATTATGGGGATTACAATTCAGGATGAGATTTGGGTGGGTGGGGACACAGACAAATCATATCAGTATTCTACACACATGCACACACACACACACACACACACACACACACACACACACACTGTCTATGTGCTTGCATGCATTTCTTTTGGGGATTTAGTAACTATAGTAACAGGTTAACCTGGCTCTAATTTGAAACTGGATATATTGTGTGATCTTTTAACATTTTTGAAATGACTGTAGTCCTAAGAAGGTGAACATGTTTCATAATATTGGGCAGTTATTGTACATTCAGTTGACAGGAAAGACAAAAAAGTATCCCACATTTTCAGCCCAAAGGTAAGATGGATGGAGGTAGCTGATCAGGGCATATTTTGGTGACTTGAAATATAGAAGACATCATAAACTATGAGATCATATTTGGTGACTTGTTATCCATCTAAGAGAGGGAGAAAAAAAGCACCAAGACAATATTGTACCATAATAATGAATTTCTTGCTGCTGTCAGTTCTATTTAACATCATTTTTTTCTAAAATATTACATTACATACAAATTTTATGTAAATTAGTATATTAATGTATATACATAGTATATTTTTGAGTGGAAAAAATTTGCATATTTTAGTTCTATACTTTTTTAAAAATCTAGATTAGATCTGAGAATTTTCCTTTTGAAAGATTTGGTTCCTTTATTCTTAACTTTAGCAAATATTTATTGAATATCTACTGTGTACATATAAACTGTGGTCACTGTATTCAAAGATTTAATAATTTTAAAATGGTGATAATTTTCTTTCTTTTAAAACACCTCTTCCCCACAAAATAGTCTTTACATTTCTTAAATTGAAGTTACCTAATTATAATATCTTCAGGGAAAAGTCATTATTTCTCAAGCATGTAGAGGACAGTAGTTTCAATACTTTCCCTTTGTCTGTTGTGAAGTAGAGATATATTCATGGTATTAGTGTTTAAAGTGTCTCACATTGGCAGACATAAGATGGTCCGAATCAAGGTGGGCAGAAGAACTATTTAAAACATATTACCTTGCCAGGTTAAAAGATGCTGCATAATTGTGGACTATTAGGAAGCAATAGGGTCAAATTTAAGTTGAGTTGTGTGCAGTGACGTATGTTTAGGAGCAAACGAGCTAGAGAGAGAACAGTTCTAAGTAAAAGTAAATTACTGCTCTATTTTGATTGATTTATTCACTTGTTCATTCATGCAATAAAATGTGTGGGTACCTACATACTATGTATCTGTCTTGGCCAGTGTTTCTTCGTTATGGCTACACGTTAAAATTATCTGGGAACCTTTAAAAAATTTTACAGATGCCTGAGTCCCAGACTACGCCTATTGTAGCAGAATCTCAGGATGCCTATGGTGGTAAGCCTAAGGAATCTATAATCCTATAAAGTTCTCTAGGTGATTCTAATATGCAGCTGGGTTGAGAACAACTGGTTTAGGCCTTTGGGATTCCCAAAATTAATGATCCTGTTTGATTAGTTTATTTTTTATTTTATGTTATATTTTGTTTGAAACAGAGTCTTACTCTGTTTCATAGGCTGAAGTGTAGTGGCAAGATCTTGGCTCACTGAAATCTCTGCCTCCTGGTTTCAAGCAATTCTCCTGTCTCCACCTCCCGAGTACCTAGGGCTACAGGCAGGTGCCACCATGCCTGACTAATTTTTATATTTTTAGTAGAGAAGGAGCTTCACCATGTGGGCCAGGTTCTCAAACACCTGACCTCAAGTGATCCTCTTGCCTCAGCCTCCCAAAGTGCTGGGCTTATAGGCTTGAGCCACTACACCTGGCCTGAATATTTTAAGAACAGAAAAGACTTACAAGTATCTACTACATTCAAATTTCTTTATGTAAATTATTTTATTTTGTTTTAGAAGCCAGGCTTTTCAGGATAACATTTCCCTTTTTCTCTCTTAATTTCATCTGCTAATTTTATTTATTTGTTTATTTATTTATGTATATTGTTTTAGATTCAGAGGGTACATGTGCATGTTTGTTACATGGGTACATTATAATGCTGGGGTTTGGTTTCTATTGAACCCATTGCTGGGTAACACTTCTTGAAGCCAAATTTTAAGGTGGAACTATCATTGTATGTTGATAGAATTCTGAACAGGAAATTTCCTTTTAGTTACATGGAGTCATTTTTGTCCACTCTTCACCTAGGTCAGAGCATCAGAGTAATTTGTTATTTTCTAAAAGGGTTAATGCAAAAGGCACTGTAAGACTTGTTTTCCATCGGGGTAAAATAGTGTCAATACTTATTTTGAAGCTTCATCGCAAGCATATTAGACTGAATGAGATTACAAGTATTAAACGTACTACACTTTTGGAAGATTTTTTTTTTTGCTTTTGATAATACTACCCTTATTATGTTTGTCATTAACTATTTATTTAGTTTTATTAAAATGGAGAAATTCCAAAATCTAGTGCCATGTTCTAGAAATTGCAGCAATGTTTTTTTCTCTTTTTAATCTGTAAAAGTTGACTATGTGTTTAAAAATATCTTTGGGTCACAGAGGAAGATCTCATGTTCAGAAAGAATGTTTTCATCAAATTGACTTATGCTCATTGATTTCTAAAGCATCAATTTTGAGAATTTGGCCATTCTCCATAATTTTTTCCTGAGGAAGCTAATTCATTCAGTTGCTCAAGCTGGCAGCATTTGACTGCTCCTTCCAAAATAAAAAATGAAAAATTCGTTTGAATCCGTCGATAAAGTATGAGCTGTATTTTGGTTAGAAATCGAAGCCAATGCATAGTTTATGTTATTAATTACCCTAGCGTTGAAAATTTCCTTTTGTTTTGTCATTCTTGACTGTGTATATTCATGAATTTCTTTACCCATATTAATTTGTAGAATTAAGAGTAGTATATTTTGTTCATTTCTATTGTTTTGTTATGAATCATAATTATTCTACATGCATTTTTAACCTAATTTGAGTTTTTAGAGCTTCATTATTATTCAAAAATAAAACAAACATGATCAATCTTATTGATTTACAGAAAACGTCTTAGAACTTATAGGTAGAACTTGCAGGTAGTTATGATTATTCAACTTCCCAGTTTGAAACACGATGTCAGCCATCCATCAGCACTCATTTTATGTCTTATTTTCACACACATGCAGATAAGGATTTTGTATTCTTTTTATTTCTTGGTTGTGGCTCAGTGTGCTGAATCTTATAAGACAAAATTTCTGTAAACATAGACCATACTCTAATTCCAAATGATCTGTCTTGCTAATATACACCAACTCTTGGGGAAATAAAAATACACTATATTAGAATTTATGCATGTTAAAATAATCTCTTTGTTTTTCATCAATTCACTGTTTACCACTCAAAAAGTATTAATTTTACATAGAGGAAACATTACACTAATGTATTATTCAAGACTTTGGGTTGTAAGCAATAGAAACTAAACTCAAAGTAGCTTAAGCAAAAGAGCATCTCCCTGAAAGCTCCGTTCAAAATGCCCTGAGGGTTACTCTTGTTGAGTTCATGTACCAAACCTTGAACTAACTCATCACAGAAGAAGAAATATTGTGATTGGCCAAATATGTTCAGAGAGATGGGTAGGTGAATGAAGATTAACTTTTTTTCCAAAATATATTTCCCTAAGAGAGAATCTGATAACATCCTATTACTTAAGTAGTAAAAAGGGATGTTGGACTAGAAGAAAACAACCACTCTCCATCAAATAGAGTTGTACAAAAGTAAAAACAAAAACTGATCTTCTAGCAGTAAATTACTATGAATTTAGCTTATCTTCAAATTTTTATCCTGACCTATTAAATTCTGTTAGAAATTACTAGTGTTTTATTTTACTTGTAGAAGATTATAGAAAGAATTCAACAATTCTAAAAAACATGGACTTTTTTAGACTATGTATGGACTTTCTTGATTTTCAAAGGGATCAGATCCAAATAATGATGCTACTTTTACAAAAACGCATGAATAGAGAAACAACAGATTAGTGTATTTGATAAAATGTAAAGTAAAAGCATTAGCTAGAATGGTGTTTTATGCTATTTTGCTTTTCTTTATTTCCCTCAATTTATCTCCTATTTCCATTTTTCTCACTTTTTTCCCCTTCTCTAACAGTGTTCTTTGTGCTATTACATCTGGAAAGAATCATTCAATAGGAAATGTAAAATAGGCTTTTAAAAGTAGAGGTTAATGTAAATTATCCTTTTAGGTTGCTTCTGTTTTTTTCTAGTTAATTATTGTTAGATATTCTATGTTTGTGCTATAAAGCTATGACATCATAGGCTTATATTGTAAAAGATTTAAAAGTAAAGTCTTACATATAAAGAATGCCCTAAATAAATGTACTTTAATGAATAAATTATTTAGGAAAATGTGGGATATATAAGCCAGATGAATCACTTAAGAAAGCATTACTAACTATAGCAATAATCTGAAAGACTCTTTAGCTGGACTTAAATGATGATGAGAAAGTAATTTTCTGAAAATTACTGAATCTAATCTTTGAAGAAAACTATACAACATGTTGTAAGCCTATAAAATGAACATAAAATATAATGTTCAAGGCATTCTGAAGGATGTATAGCAGATTCTGGTATCAGTCTCTAATACATTATCTCAGTGAAAGTGTGGTAATACTATTTCTTCAGTAGTGTGGTTAGTAGAACAGTAACTGTGTTGATCTTGTCCATTTTCTTATGACTTATTCTTTTCTCATGACTTATTCTTTTCTCATGACTTATTCTTTTCTCATGACACCTTGTCTATGGTAACATGTCTTCTTCCAGCTTTAGGGCCTTTATTACTGCTACCTTTTTTTTTTTTTTTTTTTTTTTTTTTTAGTGTAATTGTTAACTTCAGCAATAGCTGTGCGGCAGTATAGCTCTGTCACTGAAACCTAAGCGCTCTGCATCTATGTGCGTTGGGGGTGGAGGTCTTCATTCACTTTCCAGAATAAGAAAAAGAGTTTCTGCTGGCAACTGATTTGTATGTATGTGTGTGCATTTGAAGAAAAAAGGTTAAAAGTCCTTTAGTAGCAATTAGTCTAACATGAAAGCAGTTTCTCCACTTATGCAATACCTTGGCACTTTTTGTGTGGTGGGAGACAACGTCTCCCAGGCAATGGTGTTTTGGAACACTACTATTTCAGTATTCAATATTCCAAATCTGCATGTGCTGGTAACACTGTATACCTTATTCAGTTTTCTGCCCTTACATTGCCCCCATCCTCCAGGCACTTTTTGGGACATTCTTCACTAATTTTTAGGAGGAGGATGGTTGGAGAATAGTACACAAGCATTAGAAAAAAGATGTGGATTTCTGGAGCGTCCTCCAATGGATTTTACTAGGTGCTGTAAATTCCTTGAAATATTGCACAGAATTTAACAATTATGTACATTAATGATTAATTCACAGATTCTTAAATGGGCCCTTGACCCATAAAGGATTAGAGGCTCCTTAAAAAATGTCTTTTAAAAAAAAAATTTTTTTTTTTTACTTTAAATTCTAGGGTACATGTGCACAACGTGCAGGTTTGTTACATATGTATACATGTGCCATGTTGGTGTGCTGCACTCATTAACTCGTCATTTACATTAGGTATATCTCTTAATGCTATCCCTCACTCCTCCCCCAACCCCACAACAGGCCCTGGTGTGTGATGTTCCCCTTCCTGTGTCCATGTGTTCTCATTGTTCAATTCCCACCTATGAGTGAGAACATGCAGTGTTTGGTTTTTTGTCCTTGTGATAGTTTGCTGAGAATGATGGTTTCCAGCTTCATCCATGTCCTTGCAAAGGACGTGAAATCATCCTTTTTTATGGCTGCATAGTGTTCCATGGTGTATTTGTGCCACATTTTCTTAATCAAAACCACAATGAGATACCATCTCACACCAGTTAGAATGGTGATCATTAAAAAGTCAGGAAACAACAGGTGCTGGAGAGGATGTGGAGAAATAGGAACGCTTTGACACTGTTGGTGGAACTGTAAACTAGTTCAACCATTGTGGAAGACAGTGTGGCGATTCCTCAAGGATCTAGAACTAGAAATACCATTTGACCCAGCAATCCCATTACCGGGTATATACCCAAAGGATTATAAATCATGCTGCTACGAAGACACATGCACACATATGTTTATTGCATCACTATTCACAGTAGCAAAGACTTGGAACCAACCCAAATGTCCATCAATGATAGACTGGATTAAAAAATAAGTCTTTATTCCTAAGGTTTGATGTTTTGAATCAGTCCTATATTGGGTAACTAGAAGTGCCTTGAAATAACCACACTAAGAAATCAACTTCTTGATCTAATTTTTTGGTTTATTATCAAGACTTTATGTATTGGTAATAATTATGATTTTGCTCATTTCTAGCCAAAAATTTCTCAGTATCTATGTTATGAATGATAGTTTCTCTTTTATGTCATAAAGAAAGGAATTTCATTACTTTGAAGATACGTCTTGCCACATTTCTATCCTAATGTTATCAGTGTTTTCAGTTTTGATCATGTGGATTTGAATGGAGATTTTTGAGAATTTTAGTTTTATTTTACTGTGTTGTGTGTGTTGTGATATTCTAGAGATTTCACTGCAGTGTGAGCCTGTATTGACCTCCACCAAAATCTTATTCCATTAAAAAAAGATCAAGCCATTCTTGTACTAACATGGAGATCACCATATGGTGCGAAAAAGAAATCAGATTCAATTCCCACATGAATATTTTTCTTCCTCTTAAGATAATATTACTTACATAGCACTCAGTTAAAGTGCTTCACTAGTCTCATTTATTATTCATAATGTTCTCTGTTGTTAAGAGGGTCTGACATGCTGGGGCTTCACCTCAGGGAAATGGTCCCATAGAAAAATGAAACTAATGATTCTGAGTAAATGACCTTAATAGGTAAATTGGAATTACAGTGTAGATTTTTCCTCAGCTCTTGGATGACTCCAAATTCTCTATCTTCTTTCTCTTCGCAGATATTATCCTTCAAGTGTAACTGAAATTTGGTTTCATTAAAATGTATCAAATTAAAATATAACAAATATACTTTCCACCTGATAAGAAGGAAAATAAACGTCTTTTGCCTGAGCTCAAGATGATTCTATTACATTTACTGGAAATTCAGAAGCGGTGATTCAAAATATCACAGTCCAAAAGAAATTTCCAACTTGGGGCTGAGTTTAAAAACTGATTCAACTAACTGCTTAGTAACCATTGCTAACTGATCAGTGGTATCTGTTAAATAAAATCAGAGGTGTTATATATATAATTACATAATATAAAAACTAAAGTTTAAAACAAAGTGTATTTTTTATGTGTTCCTAGCAATGTCTTTTTTCTATTTTTAAATTTTGAAATCTTTTATTGACAAATACAAATTGTGTATACTCAAGGCATACAACAAGATGATTTGATACATGTATACATTGGGGAACCATCATTATAGCTGTGTGACATCAGACAAGTTACATGACCTCGCCATCTCCTTAAATTTAGGGATAATAATCTGCCCTGTATGATAATCAGAAGGAAGAGCATACGATGAAATTGCTTTGCAAACTGAAGCACATTACAAATTTTAGTCTTAACTAATTATATATATACACACACATGCATATATATATATGTTTATAAGTTTACGTGAGTGTGTGTCTATATATGTATAAATTTGAGACTACTGCAAAGGGGAAAAATTTCTCTCTTATAGATAATTTAGTGGTGGGTGTAAATCAGCCAGATTAGTAATCCTGCTTCAACTACGGAGTAGCTGGAAGGATGAAATCCTTTAGGCTTTTCTTAGAAAAGAAAGTTCATTTCACAGACAAGGTGGCTGGGAAGCCAAGCCTGAAGAATTCGTTTCTGTTCCCCTTCCCTCTCTGGACCTGATTCCATGGCAAGGGATATCCTTGGGAATTATTTCATCCACAGAAAAGCACAATGATCAAAACATTTCTATGGTTTTTCTGATCCTGATCATGAGAAAAACCTTTAAAAGACTAACTTTTTAAAAAATATATAACTTACCTTTTCTCATTGCTTCTTCATGAATAGGGAAATCAATATTTTATTCAACCTATTTTTTCAGTTGTAAATATAATCACTTGATGTGTTTTTCCTGGTCACTGCATAGACAAAAGCAATTCAGTGAGCCAGTAGTAGTGCAGTAAAAAAAAAATTTAATTAATGCAAAGCTTGCCATGTGGAAGATGGAGTTCATTGTTAGTCAAATTAGCCTCCCTGAGAACTCAGAGGCTAAGGTTTTTATGGATAAATTGGTGAGGAGGGGACTAGAGAATGGGTGCTGCTGCTTGGTTGGGGATGAAATCATAGGGGTATGGAAAATGGTCCTCATGTGCTGAGTTCACTTTCGGGTGGGGACCACGGGACTGGATGAGTCGTGAGTCATGAGTCATGGTCCAAGCGGGATTAGTCTGTTGCTAGAGTGCAAAAATCTGAAAATCATCTCAAAGAGCAATCTTAGGTTCTATAATAGTGATGTTATCTGCAGAAGCAATTGAGGAAATCACAAATCTTGTGACCTCTGGCCACAGGACTCTTGAGCAGTAAGGGGGGATTATAGAAACTATGCCTACATTTTAGCAGAATTCAGACCCGTCCTATACTCTTAATCTCCTGGCCTTCCATTTATTTTATAAAGATAGTTTTCCATCCCTGAGCAAGAAGGGGGTTAGTTTTAGGGAGGGACTATATCATCCTTGTTTCAAAGATAAGCCACAAACTAAAATCCTCCCATGTTTAGCTTGGCCTACACCCAAGAATGAGTGAAGACAGCCAGCCTGTGAGGCTAGAAACAAGATGGAGTCAGCCACGCTACATTTCTTTTGCTGTCATAATCTTTGCAAAGCAGTTTTATGATTAACGAATTTTTCTATAAGCAGATTAAGTGTTTTAAATGAATGCTACTCTCCTACCTTTATTATAGGCTTTCTGTTTACTCTTCATATTTAAAACATTACAATTTTGGTAGGAATAAAAACTTAACAGATGAAGGTGGATGTTTGAATTCAGGTAATTCCATGTAAGTATAATGTTTTACTATCTAAAAAGTAGAGAGCAGATTTCTGACTCAAACCATTGAAATGTAGGTGACAGGTGTAATTTCAATTTTTATATAAATTACGGTGTATAATATGTGAGTTACATTGGTTTAAAGGTAGTGAGAAAACCTTTTAATAACATATTCTAGAATTTTGCACTTGCTCTGCATCTTTTCTCCCTTATGAATAAAGCCAACTCAGCATTCTTGCTCTCACACAAATGCTCTCTCTCTGCACACATATATACCTGTGTGTGTATATATATATATAAAAGGTGTATACGTAAGGTGTATATATATATATATATATATATGGTGTGTATATATATATATGGTGTGTATATATATATATATGGTGTGTGTATATATATATATGGTATGTGTATATATATATACATGGTGTGTATATATATATATAAAGTGTGTGTGTATATATATATATATATATATATATATATATATACACACACACTCACCTTATATATACACCTTATTTATCAGGCTGGTATTCTAAGGAATATAAATATATAACTATATATATAATATAGTTACATTATATATATTATTATATACAGTTAAATATAACTATATTATTATAGTTACAAACATATTATATATAATATGTAACATATATTATGTATAGTTACAGTTTATATTTAATCCAAATCCAATGAGCAAGAAGAAAACCCCCAAAATTAGGTATATATACATATATATATGTATGTAATTTATAGACTGATCTAGGTCAGATTATTAGATACACACCTTAGATTCCAATATGTTCAAAAATTTCCTTTTAAAATTGTAATAACAGCCAATTCACCTTTCTCAGGTTCTTCTCTGTTTCTTCTTTTGTTCTTCAAATTTCCATAAAGCACATAGTAGATTTCTCTTTTTCTCTGATTTACATAATTTTTTCTGGTCTGGAAAAATGCCAGACTGTTAGAGAATAAGGCAAAAATCCACTGAGCTTATATCATTCGGCAGTCAGAAAGCACAAAACTTGTAGAACTAAGTATTTGGTCTGAAAAGAACACACTCGGATCCAAATCTGCACATAAACCTGGAGGAGTAAATGAATTGATTTTTATTTTCTAACAATATACTGCATATTCAAAGCCTCATCATTAGCGGAGAGTGAAACTTAAAAGAGGATCCTTCCTTCATCCCCAAATAATAAATGTGGTTACACAAGAATGTTAATGTAAGGGACTTTTCTTTTTCTTTTCAGGTGGTGATAATTGGGAAAGAAAAAAGAAACGTAAATCCATTTAGTAATAGGAACCACCTTCCATGGCAAAGTAATTGCATGTAATTATCTCTTTCTTTTCAGTTTCCAGATTTGATTTTATGTAAATCAGATGACTGTCAAACAAAGAGTCTCATGGTAGTAGTAAAAAAAAACTTCTTTAAGATTCTTTCTAGAGTAATTGTATATATATATATATATATATATCAAAATAAATATATATAAATATACGCTTTAATTCTGATGTTTAACCTCCTCTTTTTGGTTGCCTTCTGTGACTTGGGCAGCTTTTATTTTAACACTTCTGTATTTCAATTGGCCCTTGTAAGTGAAATAGATAATTTCCAAATGAATACATAATAAGAAGTAATTTAGTATTTGTTTGAACTGCTGTTTCTTATTTCCAACTTTCAGGATAATACTAGCTCTATGCATGTGTTGAAACTTCACTCCTCAGCTTCCCAGAACAGACATGCTCTCAAGCATTCTGTCTAACTGTAAGTCTGATTACAAGTGAACTTGTACCAGTTACATAAAATCTCTGAGTATTGCCTCAGAAAATATAATTAGCATCCATATATAGCTACAGATACCCTTCAAATAATGAAAAAGTATCTGGGTCCTAGAATGTAGTCTGGCCTCTTTTGTACCCAAGGTCAATATCACTTTTTTCTCTGGGTCAGTCCAGGCCCAACTGGGTAGAGATTTCCAACTTTGTTCTTATTAATATTCACATACAAAAATAGTTGCTTATTTATGTAGAAATTACATGTACACATACATAGTTTTAATTATAGCTTTATTAAGGCGTGATTTACATACCATGAATTTTACACTTTTAAAGTGAATGATGAAGTGGTTTGTAGTATAATATATTGCAGTTGTGTGATCATCACTACTATCTAATACCAGAACATTTTTATCACCCCCGAAAGAAGGTTATTTCCATTTTCAATCACTCCCCATTTCCCTTTCTATACAGGCCCTTGGCAGCCTTTAGTCTACTTTCTGTCTGTATAGATTTGCCTATTCTGGACATTTTATATAAATGGAAACATGTAATATGTGTGTGGTCTTTTCTTATTCAAATATGTACTTTTTGACTAGATGAGAGACCATTTTGAAACTTCTCCCAGAATGAATGATTCCAGGAGGAAGTCTAGAGATATTACACTTTTAAAATCATTAGAAAATGTTTCCTATGGATACATTTGCAAAAGTTTACTAAGATTTATGTACAAGAGTATTCTTTGTGTCTTTCTGTGTAGTATCAAAATCATCATCAACAACAACAAAGACCTAAAGTTGCTTTCAATAGCATACAGATTAGAGTTATATATCCACACAATTTCATGTGGAACAATCCTCAAAAGACTGATCTAGGTCACTATGAAAACAGATGGGATAATCTCTAAAACAGATTTTCATAAAAGTAGAGAACAGGATGCTTAATATAAAATCTTTCTATGTGAAATCATAATTGATATTTATTTTCTAACAATGTGCTGCATATCCAAAGCCTCATCATTAGTGGACAGTGAATATATGTGTGCATTCAGTTATGGTGATTTCCCATGCCCAGAGTCACTTGAAACTGCAGAGAATGATTTCTCTTGAGGAAAAGGAAGGAAAGACAGACTTTCACTTTTCATTTTCTATCTTTTGGGTATAGTTTCTATTTTTCTAATCTAACGTGTATTTCTCACTTTTTTTGTCTGCTAACAAATATAAACAGAGTTATCTGAGTAGTTAAGTTTATTTTCTGCATAATAAAAAAGTTGTATTGAAAAGAGATCTGTATAACAAAACAATAAAAATAAAAACAAACAAACAAACAAAAAACCATGGGGTAAAGGCTGACTGAAAGCTGGCATCATAAGCAAGAAAATTACATATGAAAGATAGCATAGCAATGTCCTGATGGCTATGCCTCATCATAGTGCTATCTAAATAAAGTAGCCGAACTCAAAGACCTGCTCATGGCAAAATTCCAGGGTCGTTTTAGGAGTTGAAATTCCTCTTTGGAGTTGATTAGAATCCTTAGACCCTGGCCTGCATCCTGCCTGGCTTGTGTCTCAATAGCCTATGGCTAATATCTGGGGGGTAATTTAGAAACTGTGCAACTTAATTGAACTCAGCAAAGCCAGGCACCTGCTAAAACTGAAGTTTTTAATGTTCTCTGAGGGTTTTCAAATAGAAAGCCTAGAGAGGAAAATGACACTCTAGTGGAGGATTCTGTGCCAGAAAATCATGCCCCCCTCCTGTACTATAGTTAATCTGACTCTAAAGCATTTGTCATTCAGTATTTGTGTTGGCCCATTTGATGCTGTTGCCACCGCCCTCAATCCAGAGTTGATAAGAAGCACCCAGCCGACTGTCCTGATTATAGTTGGTGCTCCGGGGACTCTCTCCAAACTCTGGTTAGACCAATGGTCCCAGGTCTCCTAGAAGGGATGTATAGAACTAAGCTAACATTATGGGTTTGTGAAGGTGGGTGAGAGGAAATTGGGACTAACTGTAATTTAGATATGGTTAATTTCTGTGGCTGTGATGGCCGAGTGGTTAAGGTGTTGGACTCAACATGGTTAATTTCTGTGCAGCATCACACCTTATCCAGGAAATACCTATTTCCTACTCTTTGCTATCTAATTGTGCAAACTCATTAATGTTAATGCATTAGAGCAGTGGTGCTCCACAGCGTGATTTTGCACTCCACCCAGGCTCCCCAGGGGACAGTTGGCAATGTCTGGTTTTGATTGTAGCTACAGGCAGGTGCTACTGGCATCTAGTACAGAGAGGTCAGGGATTCTGCTAAAATCCTACAATACACAGACAACCCTGGCACAGAAGGAATTATCCGGCTTGAAATGTCAACAGTGCCACAGTTGAGAAATATGATATGGAGATTTGCATATTCAGGAAGTCTTCTGAAAACCTTGCTTGAATTATCACTTGGAAATCTCTCAGCCAAAATCTAGATTTTTTTTTTTTTTGGTGGAATATCCTCTAGAGTGTAATCTCACCAGTCATACCTTGGCAAGTCTGAGAAAATGTTTCTTTTTACTTGGCTAATGTGGCTATATACTCAGAGGGGATCTTCTGGGCTATGACCAATGCTCACTCAGGACGTCAAAGAGAATTAATCATGTTGTCTAAATTTGCCAGAGAAGAGAGCAGCAGAATAGGACACGAACAGTTTATCTCTACCTAATACTTCAGAATCTGTGATACTTATCTGTATTCCTTCTACCTCAGCCAGTGTCTGTATTTCAGTCTCACTTTTCTTCTGCTTTTTTATGGTACTTAAAAAAATTCTGGAATCTCTTTTCTTTTACCTCTGTCTTCCCCATCATTCTGAGTTTTTCTCCTTTATTTTTTTTTTGCCTCTTTTGTCTTTTCCATTTCTCTTTTCTCTTCCTCTGATTTTCTCATATAGTAATCCTCCCTTCTTACATGTTTTTATTTGTCTTGTGTGTTAACCTCTCTCCATGTGTATCTTTCCTCAATGTTTTCCTTCCATTTTTCATTCTCTCTGAACCCTTCTGTCCTTTTTCTTCTTCAGTTTTCTTTCTTTCACGTACTAATAGAGCTAACGCATAAACAAAGTATTTGTTTTGCTTATTGAATACAAATTTTAGCTCTCAATTTATATTCTTTCTAAAAGAAAAAGATCAATTTTTATGTCTTTAAATTGTAAGATCTTTAAAAATCTATCATAAATATCACTATATTTCACTGTCTCCAGTATGAAGCAATGTAGCATGGGCCCTTGTATAGGACACGTAGGTTTTACCTTATAAACACTTAATGAATTTAATTAAATATTTTTTATTGGTGTACTGATTTCCACCCCATCACCAATTTTACCTCTTAATTTTAACACACATGCCACACCCCACATGCAGGCACACTAAAAGGGTGCACTAATGATGGTGTTGTTAGACCCTGTTTAGACTTAATGATGAAATCATCATGGGTAGGAAAACTTTTTTTCTGCCTCAAATGATAACAAAGGGTAGCTGACCATTTCTCCTATGTATTGAGCTACCATTGGCTGCAGATTTCTTGAACTGGCCTCAGCTTTGATCTCAAATCCTGAGGGACTTTATAGGCTGAAGCCTTTCAACCTTCATTGTCCTCAAACAGTTTCTCAATGGTGGCAAGTCCCTAAATTCTGAGAGTGTGTTTAAAGCTTTGAAGTGTATTTCACCTTCTCCATAAAGGCAAAGACAAACAATGACTTGAAAGGTGACTTTCTAGCAGGCATGCATCTCCCAGACTGTGGTTACTCTGCAAATTGTCCAGATCATACTGTGTAGCGCTCCAGGGTTATACATGTACTCACGACTCAAGAGCTATTGTTGACCTTTTATTGGTTGAAAATTCATTACATTTAAAATAGGTTATACTTTGACCATAGTTTTAAAATCTAATAATGTTGTGCTCTTCAATTTTCTTGATGTCTTGCAAACCTCAACACCTTGAAAGCTGATGATTTTTGAGTAGGCTGTTGCAGCTACAAAGATGTCATATGGAAAACATCCATGAGGCCTGTATTTAATCTAACACTGGTTTCAGCAGCACTGAAATATGTTGTTGCTCTCAGGCTCCTAGATGGTTAAACTTACTGGGGTTAGAATTTCTAAAAATTGAATGGGGGAAAATGCCATGTAGGGATGACCTTTTGAAAGAAATGTTCCATGTCTGAGACCTAAAGTAACTGATAGAGCGCATGGAGCCATAGAAGTCTGACAAGAAAGCATTAAAAGGCATCCCTGCTGAACAAGGAATCTCTTTCTCTTTCTGTTTTTTCCCTTTTGTGCTGCTAATTGGTGACTTTCTCTATTGTTTTAAAATAAATCTTCTTATGGCCATAGAATGTGAAGCATTGCTATTCGTGAATAGACAGAATCTGACAGCAGGTATATATTCAGAACACGGGGCACATTGTGAAGGTAACAAGAACTACTGTCTTTTAAATTTATGTATTACCCAGGCAATTTACTTTATGAAAATATGCAATCTATTTTCTACTATGATTCTTTTAAAAAACTTTACTTCAGACACTTCCCCAGCCTGAACTAAGTGTTCCATATTTTAAAGCTTCTCATCTCTCCACCTTCTCACCCAAGGCCCCCTCTGGAACATTAATGGCAGTTTTTGTTCCACTTTAGATAATGAGCATGATAAGCTGCAGGTTTCAAGAGGATTTGTGCTATTGGTTGACAAAAACAACAAAAGGGAACCTGGACTCATTCCCGGTTTCCGTGTAACTATTTCCTGGAGAGTTTACCATGTAGCCATTAGCTTATCTCAGCGAGAAATGAATAGAAATTCCTAGTCAGTATAGTTTAGGCATATTAAATAACATTTTAAATGAAATGATTTGCTTCCCTTTTCAGGGATTTAAAAAAAAAGCAGCTCAGGTATTAGTCTGGTTCACTAGTTCAGAATTAGGATCCTATTACCAAAACAGAGGCAATACAGACCATTTGGGTGACAGTGGCTAATAGCGCACATGTACCTCTTGGAGCAAGCCAGACAGACAGATCCAGCAACCTTTGTTCCCCATGCAGATTTTCTGTCCATCACCACTCCTCAAAGAGCAAAACTATTTCTCAAAGATCTCTGACTCTGAAGTAATTCATGTTGAAAAGGGATGGGGAGAATGCTCTTAGATCCTTCATGGTAGTTCCTGGTGGGTACAACTCTGTCCTCCAGAAGCTTATTTATCTACCAGACTGCCTGTTATTCCATTTTTTAAAACATTGTCACATTTCATGTTACTCGGTATTTTACACTGTCACTTTATTTAAATCCTTTTTTTTCCAAACTAAAGAAAAAGACAAAGAAGAAAATTACCATCATTCATATTCTCACCACCCAGTAATAACTTGCCTTTTGAGAAAAAAAAGTTATATTGTTATTTATAAAAATAATTTATGCTCATTGTAGAGAATTTAAACAGTACAGAAATGTACAAAATAAAATTAAGAAAAAAGCAATCCCACTATTTGAAAATAAACCTCATTACTCTAGACAAACATTATATAAGACATAATTCAGATAAATAATAGAAAAATAATTTTAGAACTATTGAACGGTACTGTAGAAACTGAAAAATAAAATAAGATTGATTTTACTTTTACTTGAAATCAACAAGAAAAAGAGACTAAAATGAAATTAAAAGAATTGATGAATCTCAAATAAATTTACAACAAAGGATTTAAAAGAAATTCTCCTTAAGGAAAAAATTGTGAAAATAATTACAATTTTTGAGTTATATTTTTAAAAGAACATGTTTATAATTGAAAACAATTGAAGCCATGCCATGAAAGAGGAAAATTTAGCATTTTTGATGCATCTTCTCAGCTTTCCTATCCTTATATTCTGGTTCTTATCACTTAAACAATTGATTTTGAATTTTCTAGGATTATAGAATTCACATCTAGTTTTGCAGTCATAATTCTCTTGTTATTCGGTAATTTTATGTCTAAATGGGTCAGCTTCATGCACACAAATATTTTTGTTTGTTCCTTTTCTCTGCTCAATTCCATTTATTCAGAGTAATGCCTGGAACATATTAAGCACTCAATATATATTCAGTGGGATTTTATTTATTTGAAGAATTTTTTTTTGAGTTAAGTGTCTATATTTTTATAGAATGAGTTTAGTGTTCACTTCTATGTCTCTTAATATAATATCTCTATTTCTCAGGTATGAATATTAATTCCAATCTAAAATTGGCTGGTTTTATTATTTTTTTCTCTACGAGGAGTGTAGGTAGCAAATTTCTGAACATTTTTTTGTGTGTTTAGTAATGACTTCTTGACAGGTTACTTGAGCCCAGGAGTTCAATACCAGCCTGGGCAGCTTGACAAAACCCCATCTCTACAAAAAATACAGAAAATTAGCAAGGCATGGTGGCACACACCAATAGTCCCAGATACTCAGGAGGCTGAGGTAAGAGAATCACCTGAGCCCAGGAAGTCGAGGTTGCAGTGAGCCGTGATTGTGCCACTGAACTCCAGCTTGGCCAACAGAGTAAGAGCCTGTCTAAATAAATAAATAGAGACTTCTTGGCATTGATAACTGAATGGTATTTTGTGTGGGTGTATTGTGGGTATGTTGGGTCACTTTGTATACCACAGTTAGTTTTGCTGTATTTGAATGTTAATGTGAAGTTTGAGGCCAGCCTGATTTTTTTTTAATCTTTTGTAGGTTAGTTTTTTCTGCCTTGATATGTATTTAAAAGGAATCTTCATTTTGCTTATCATTTACTTTCTTCATTAGAGCCTTTAATATTTTAATCGTAGTTATTTTAAATTCTCTGTCTCATATTTTCTGCATTGATGACATATCTGGGTCTAGTTGTGTTGATTCCTTTGGCTCTTTGGATGTGTTATTTTGTTTTGCCTTTTCGTATGCTTAAAATTATTTGTTGATAGCAACCCTCTTGTGTAGAAGAATAGAGATGGGGATAACTAAATTGTATCCCTGGAAGTGGATATACCTTTTTTCTTTTCTTTTTCTTTTTTTTTTTTTTTGAGGCAGAGTCTCGCTCTATTGCCCAGGCTGGAGTGCAGTGGTATGATCTTGGCTCACTGCAACCTCTGCTTCCCGGTTTCAAGTGATTCTCTTGCCTCAGCCTCCTGAGTAGCTGGGACTACAGGTGCATACCACCACGCCCAGCTAATTTTTTGTATTTTTAGTAGAGACAGGGTTTCATCGTGTTAGCCAGGATAGTCTCCATCTCCTGACCTCATGATTCGCCCACCTCGGCCTCCCAAAGTGCTGGGATTACAGGCATGAGCCACCGTGCCTGGCCAATATATCTTTTTTTTTTTTTATGAGGCCTTTAAAGCAAATGTTTAACTTCATCTAATCTGGAGGTGGGCTGGACTGGGGTTTTGTGGTTGCCTTAATTATCCTTGTGGTACCATAGGCATCAAATACCTCCAATGATACCTTGTATTATCTTGTATTTAGCATGGGGGCTGATATTCCAGTGGTTTTCTCTCAGTGTTGCTCCACTCTTAACTTTTGGTCACTCCTTTGTGCTGCATCTCTGGGAGAAACTATCTCCATGATCTTGGTGCAGTATTCCATTGATATTAGTCTGATAATGGAGGTAGAGGAAAATTGCATTTTTTATTATTCTGATTAAGCTTCAGTCTTAGGCAGGCACTATATTCCTGAGTGTCAATGCCGTGACCTTCTTTGTGCTCATATCCCTCCCTCAGCTGTAGCTCTGGGGCCGGCAGTCATTTCTGCTTCTTCCTCAGAACTAAAGATTTTTTTTTTCTCTCCCCTTCCATAGCAGTAATGGGTTTTACCAGTGCACTAAGAGTGGCAGATTATATTGCCCTTCTACAAATTAAATCTCTTATTCCATATAGTGAAATTTGGAAGGGTCCCAGTGAAGACTTTTATCATCCCTAAACTACACCATGAAAAGCAACTCTTCAGTACTCTCAACAAGTTGGGCCCATGTAACAAAAGTTGTCAAGAGGGTGCAAATTCCCCTTGCATTTTCAGCTCCATGGATTCCCCCACTCTCTTAGCAACCCACATTTACCTCCATCAACTGTTAACTATTCTAGCTAAATTGTTCTTACTGGATTGAGTTGTGTCTGCCTCAGATAAACATGTGTTCTCATACTGTCTATTTCTGCAGCCTCCTGTCTCTTTGCGATCCTGGATCATCTTTCCCTAACCCCCCTTATCCTTCCCAGCAGGAAACAGAAGCCTGTCTTTATATCTAAATAATTATTGTGTCCCTGAAGTTCAGTTGTTCAGTGCAATATGTCTTGGTTTAAAGAGTCTACATTAAATTTTCCTGTATGCTCTTTTAATCTGCAGTTTTCTCTTTTTTCAAAGGAAATTTTCTTGAACTACATCATTGAATGAAGTCTGTTATTTATTCATTTTATGGATAGATTTCTACAGGAACAATGCTATGGTTTGGATATATTAATAGTTTGTCTTTACCAAAATTTTATCCCCAATGTGGTCATTTTGGGAGGGGGGGATTAGTGGGAGGTGTTTGGGTTGTGGTGTTATTATAGATCTCTCATGAATGGATTGGGGCTATGTTCACAGCAGTGAGTGAGTCCTTGTTCTCTGGAGTCTGAATTAGTTCTCAAGGAATAGATTGCTTCCCGTGAGAGTTGACTGTTATAAAGCCAGGAGCTCCTCAGGTTTTCCCCTCTTTGCACATGTGTGCTTCCCCTTTGAACTTCTGTACTATGCTGTAGCATAGCATGAAAGCCTTCTCTGGAAGCCAGGGCCATGCCCTTGAACTTTTCAGCCTGGCCAACTATGAGCTAAATAAACCTCTTTTCTTTATAAATTATTCAGTGCCAAGTAGTCTGGGTTAGGCTGTTCTTGCATTGCTATAAGACTTGGTAATTTATAAAGAAAAGAGATTTAACTGGCTCGCAGTTCTGCAGGCTGTACAGGAAGCATGGCGCTGGGATCTGCTTGTTTTCTGCAGAGGCCTCAGAGAACTTTTACTCACAGCAGCAGAAGGTGAAGCAGGAGCAGACACATCACATGGAAAAAGCAGGAGCAAAAGGAGGGCAGGGGGCGGTGCCACACACTTTTAAACGGCCAGATCTCATGAGAACCCACTCACTATTCCAAGGAAAGCACCAAACTATGGGGGATCTGCCTCCGTGAACCAAGCATCTCCTACCAGGCCTTACCTTCAATATTGGGGATTACAATTCAACATGAGATTTGACAGACAGATATTCAAACTGTATCATAGTCTGTTTTTAGCAACAGAAAACAAACTAAGAGCGACAGCAGTTATTATAATGGAACATTTTGCCTGATTTTTAAATATAATTCGCTTCTGTCTAGTTTCTTGAAACTATTTTTTAATCTACATTTAGTTTGATGATATTTTCCTTCTCAATTTTTCAAATTCTAAACGCCTTTATTCTACTGCTTTCTTTGTGCGAATCTAACTTATTTGTCAGTTACGTAGAGATGGTGTCAATCTTTTCAAGTCACTTAAAATTTTTATTTTATTTTATTTTATTTTTCCTGAAACTTTTATTGTAACTTCTGGGGGACATATGCAGGATGTGCAGGTTTGTTACACAGGTAAATGTATATGCCATGGTGGTTTGCTGCACAGATCAACCCTTTCAAGCCACTTTAACAAAACATCATAAACTGGATAGCTGATAAACAACAGAAGTTTACAGTTCTGGAGGCTCAGAAGTCTAAGATCAAGATGTCAATAGATGCAGTGTCTGATGAGGGCCTGCTTACTAGTTCATGGACATCCATCTTTTTTCCATGTCCTCACGTGGTGGAGGGAGCAAGGCAGCTCTTTGGGGCCTCTGTTATAAAGGTAATAATTCCTTTCTTGAGGGCTCCAATGTTATGACCTATTCACTTCCCAAAGGCCCTTCCTACTGATACTATCACTTTGGTGATTAGGTTTCAACATATAAATTTTGGAGGGGGCCACAAATATTCAGACACAGAAGATTATTTTAGTCTTCAACTTTCTTTGTTGTGTCTTAAGTCACTCCTTTTTATCTTATTCTTTTATTTCATTATCCAATCTTTGAGTGTTTGTTTTACTGAATCAATGGATTTATTGTTTCTGTATAACATGGAGAAATTATGAGGAAATTCTTTTCTGTAAGATTGACTTTTTTCTAGTTTACGTTCTTTGTCTTGTTTGGTACATTTTTCCTCTTCTTTTTAATGTAATGTACTTTCATGGTATATTGCCATGCTCTGGCCAGAATCCAGATACCACCTAAACCTGCTTGCCTGATGAGCATTACCCACTTGTACATTACATAGTACATTAAAATTTTCCCAACCTGAACTCATTATCTCCTTCTATCTCACTGCTATATATATATATGTGTGTGTGTGTGTGTGTGTGTGTGTGTGTGTTCTTTCTATTTAGTGTACCTTGTTTAAAAGCACTATCAATGATCTGCTTTCTTAGAAGCCTTTGAGTAATTCTTGAATCTTCCATTTTCTTCATCCCCAAGAGGCTCTTGCTATTATTTAGGCAGGAGATATGAAGCCTGGTTTTAGGCACGGGTAGCCTTGATATGTAAGAAAAGATAAGTGTGGGAAAGATTTGTGACTTACTTGCTGTATGACTTAGTCAGGTAATTTAAGTGCTCTAAGCTTTATTGTTTTATTTTTAAAAGGGGATAATATTAGACTATATCTCATATTATGGTGAAGTTTAAGTGATTACTCAGGGTCTTCATAGTGCCTTTTTCATAGAGACTATAATATGCCTCACAAAAAAAATTCTTATTATTATACATTCCAAGTTAATAAATACATCAAAAGTCATATAACTAATAAATAGCAGATAAGAGATTAGAAGCCAGGCCACTTGGGTTCCAACAAACTATTTTTTTTTTCTTATCATGCAGCATTGTTTAGATTGGAAGGAACAGCAGACTGGAGGACAGATGAATGCCAATCCAGCAATGGGTCAGTGTATTTCTGAATTGGATGCATGGGGCTTTTTAAACTGCCACAGAGCAGAGGAAGATACTATTACCTGAATTTTTCAATATTTTCTGGCCAAGATATCTGAGTTTGTCTTGACTTTTCTTGCATCTGTGCTGTCCACAATAAGAAAGCTTGCTCAGAACTCATCCTTTTCACATACACCTATACTAATAAATCAGGGAAGATAAGGCTTGTCATCACAAACTTTATTTTTCCCACCTGGATTAGTGGGCAGATCACCAAATGCACAGTGATTTTATGCCCAGGAAACCTAAAGAATCATAGATCAGTTGGCAGACAGACTGTGAAACATGGAATGTTTATGGCGATCTGTGTTGTACAATCATATGAGATAGATTGCATATATAATGCTCATCAGTGTGGAATCATCTGGGGAAGCATCTGCTGAATTTTGTTTGCCAGCTTAAGGAAAAGATATTGCCAAAAGGCTGGCAAAGGCTTTTATGCTCTTATTGTATGATGCAAATTTATACTTTTTACTGTGACTCCTGGAGTGAAAGTGAAGCTGCACCTCCCCAGAGAAGTAACCACCGGGCCACACCCACCAATCTACACTCCACCGAGATGCACCATATGCCACAGGATTCTCAAGGGGTTTGATGGCAGAGAGTTTTATACTAACAGAGTCATTTTCTTTAATGCAAAAGCACAGCTGGAAAATATTCTTCTTAAGCAATAAGAGCATCAAAGTGTGCATATTACGTGTACTCCTAAGGACATGAGTCTATAGCTGTGGTACTTGCAGGGATTTTTAGAGGACCACACAAATGTATCGATAAAAGGAAAAATACTTTCTGAGATTAGAATGATGCTAGTTTTTTTTCCCCTGCTGATCTTTCACATAAATTACATATATAAAAATAAATTATTCATTATGAAAGTGTATCTCTGGAAATGCATTTTTAAAGAACCTTATCAAAGCGTAAACTCAGGCTCAGACAGAACCATAGCTCATTAGAAATTGCTAAATTACAGCTTCTTTTTCATCCATATGATTTGAAGAAAACTCCTTATGGTTTCCAGTACAACGTAGAAAGTAAATATTTTTTTCTCTCTGGCTGTCTTCACTTGAAATATCTCTCACATAATTTAATCAACTAGGAATAAGGCAGGATCTGAGGTTAGGAATCTCATGTGTTGTCTGTGTGTCAACTGCTTCCCTACTAGGGAAGCACTGTGTGTTAGAGAAATACTCTTTAAATCATATTTTAACTCAATGCAAGTAGTGACCAAGTTATTTTCCACAGAGATGGTAACCTTTGTTCACTTTTTTTTCCAGTAGTGAATTCCAACAACATATTTAGCCATTAACTTGGTTTCATCCTCACAGAGGTCCTGATCGGTTAGAACAGTGGTAATTTTTTTTTTGACTTATAAGAGATCTATTAGCTCTCTGAAATGATCTCCTTTAATGACCATTCCTGAGTTCCCTTTCCAGGACAGGAAATTTATTTTTGAGTCCCTTAAGGTTTTCAATATCTCACTCTTACTTATCTCAAATTTTGGAGGAACCATGTTTTTACCTTGATTTTTCCCTTTTTAACAAAAATAATAGTTTTCCTATTCTCTTCCTTGTATTTAGTAATGGCTTTACACAGATCTTCATCATTAAATCCACAATCAAGATTTTTTACTTCCTTTAATAGTATGACTCCATTTTGAAACTTCTTGGTCATAGATGAATTAGGGAAATGTTTCTTCCCGACTGTGTTATAAATGTCTTGTCATGAGCCAGTTGCATATGGCATAACATTAGTCTAGATTGCTCTACCAGTGTTGTGACTGTACTCATCTTTCCTAATGTTCATATCTAAACGTAATACAAGGTGATGTCTTGTCCTGATCAGTTTCAACTCGTTCAATTAAGCTTGGGCTTTATAGAATCTGACTTCATTCCTGAGTGTTTTAGAAAAAGTCAGGATATTTGGCACAAAGCTACATTATAAGGTTCGTCTTGTTTGCACATATAATCTCATTTGAATCAACTAATATTTTACAATGTTTGCAAATTTGAAATTATAGTATTAGCATATATATGTGAAAGATTGGCATGTACATTATATTGAGTGAAAAATTTGGGGACATGTTTTGAGTAAGAGGTTAATTTAATGACTGGAAAATACCAGATATTCCATTACTCATCTATCAAAACATAAATGCTTTTGGACAACTTAGGGATCTGAAGAATCTTATTGTCAATGTGACAAGGTCAGCAGATGTCCTGTAACTGATTTAATATTTTAAAGAGTTGTAACCTCTGACCAATTTTCAGAGAAATATTAAATTGTAGGCCATTTAGTAACAGTAAATTACATTTTAAAACTTATTCAATGATAACTGATTAGTCTAAAAGCAGAAAATTCCCACTAATATAGAGGTTTAACCTCTTTCTTTCCTGCTCTTAGATCATTATTTGCATGTCTTATTATGCTACTATACTTGGAAAATGCTATGGGTAACATACTTAAAAATAATGGCTGGGTTTTACACATATCTGCCAGAAACTATAAGAAGTCTAAAATTAATACCCATTAGGAAACAAAACTCTATAGGTTGTAGTATGTTCATTCAGATTGTTTGATCTAGGAAGTCATTAAAATATGATTCTTTCTTTTCATTTCCACTACATTAAATTCTTGTTTAGATTGATTACGATTTATCTTTCTTGTTGTTTTATGTAGCTATGGCTTTTCCCAGAGTGAAAATGAATTTGTAAGCAATTATAAAAGTCAAGGCTTTGAGGATTAGAGGGATTATTTTAGTCTTTGATAGATATAAAAAGTCATTGATGACCCCCCATTAAAGGACAAATAGCACTTAAACTCTTCACCATATGGTTATTGGTTATATTCCTAATGGGTGTACCAACTAGATATGAAAAATTAGATGACATTATCAGGAAGAATCAGTGCAGTTAGGATTATTGATGATTCTGGAACCTGTAGAAAAGATCTTGTATTCATGATGTTTCCCATATCTTCTTTACAAACTAAATTTTTATTTACCAAGAACTTTCCACATCATTCCTCCCTCCAAGCCAACATTAGCAGTTAAGAGATTGTTTTCTCCACTCTTCAAGTAAAATATAGCAGTTAGGAAGTTACTATTTTCATATAACTTCTAGATCTTATGCTGATTTTTTGTTGTTGCATGATGATGATGTTCACTCTGTGCAACCCCTGGAATCAACAACAACAACAAAAAAGCATGGACAGATTACTCCAGGAAATCCTTGCTAATTATCCTTCCATTCTGTGCAAGTCATGGTATAATGAGCTGTGACATACAAAGGGAATAAATGACAATTCTTTCTTTTAAAGAGATCATAGCCTATAATTTTGCACAGGAAGTCTTCTTATATGAACAAATTTCACATGGATAACACTATATATGCATCAAATCAGAGTTCGATGACCATTATCTATGACTGCTTTCACGTTACAACAGAAGAGTTGAACAGTTGGATCACAGACCATATTTGTATAGTCTGCAAATCCTACAGTATTTACTATCAGGCCTTGTTCAGAAAAAGTTGCTGGACCCTTTTCCTAATGGGTTAACAAAAAAGTCAGGGGAAGTAAGCTTGGTTTATAAAGATAGGTTCATTTATAGACATCATGATTCTAAAGTAATTGTGGGATACCTAAACGTAAACATATGGTAGGTAGTTGATGAGACTCTAGAACTTACAAATATGTTCAGGGCTAAGCCTATTGTTTTAATCACCATCCAGTAGAAGTGCTATAGTTAATGTATTATAATAGAGTATATATACTCTGATGGAGATTTGTAATGATGAATAAGAAAAAAAGAAAAGCAGAAGTCTGATCTGAAGGCTTTTGAAATCTTGGAAGTATACTTCTGAGTACTGAAAATAGGTCACATTATAGGAAGTCAAGGAATGAGAGTTGAGAATATAAAACCGTATTCATGAAGTTTGGTTGTAAACAGCTAGAAAGAAATATGAGTGTAACTTGAGGAGCTTACAAGTCATATGAAGATTTATTTCAAGGTGAGGGATCCAGACAAGTGAATATTTCAAGGCAGACAGAAGAATTCACTGAAGTAAGAATGATGAAATATTTTGGAGAGAGGAAAGGATAATTGAGTGTATATGGAAGACCCTAAAGGAATTGGCAGTGGATAGGATTTAGGAACACATATGGAGGGGTGTATCAGACAGAACTCCGGTTACAAGTGACTGAAACCTAATTTAAACTAGTCGTGACCAAAAAGAGGAAAACTTTATTGATCTTAACTGCTCTTCCCCTGCTTTCTCTTTCTCTCTCCATATCTTTGCTTCTATGTGTCAATTTTAGTTTTTGAAACTAACTGTAAAAAAATATAACAAACCATGATTTTTCAGCTGCTTTTACACTCATATCCTTGCAAAGTCTCATCCTGAGAAGAAAGGCCATGTTTGGGAAAATTATTTAAAAAAAAAAAACCTCTCTGCTTGGCTCAATTTGATTCACATGCTGTTCCCTGGAAAAAACAACCTAGGCCTTATCCCACGATGAGTGAGGATGCGGAATCTTCTCAGTGCCATCTTAAGTCATCTGTCCACCCCTCAGAGTAATCACTGTTGCTCGGGCAATGAGGTATAACTATTGGCTCCACTCAGACCAGCTGTTGTCCTTTAGATCTAGCACTGTGTCCAAGATAATGGCAGGGTTCCAATTCAAAACCCTTCTTAGAACAAAGAAAATGGAGAGGTGGTGGATGATACAGATTTCTCCCTTGAGGTAATGGTTATGAACTGGCAGCCACTGTGATCTGCGAATCTTATAATTAAAGCTGATTGTCATGAGTATATTCCTTATTGGCTTGATTGATTGGTTGTGGCTGGTGTCTATTCTGATTGGTTGTGGAATCTGTTGTAATTGGTTAAAACTGGTTTTCGAATATTTTAAATATCATTTCTGTTTATAAGACGACAGTCATAGAAATAAATTATGTCATTTATATCTTAAGATAAGGAAGAATAAAAGAATTGCTATTAAGATAGCGCTTTAAAGTTGAAAATAAAATAAAACGAGAAAGCTTACTAGATTGAACTTGAAGAGAAAATGTACTAGCAGGTCAATTTTATTTCAAAGACAAATTGCAACTCTATGTGTGAATACAAGACTGAGAGTTGGCAGTGATTGCTTTAAGCCGTTTTATACTTTATTTCATGTAAAACTCACAAGAATCTCTGAGACAGATATAGTTGACCCCTAACAATATGAGAGTTAGGGCCGTCAACCCTTGCACAGTTGAAAATCCTTGTATAAGTTTTAACTCCCCCCAAATTTAACTACTAATAGCCTACTGTTGACTGGAAGGCTTATTGATAACATGCAACATAAAGTCAATTAACACCCAAATATACTAGTATCTATGTATATTTTACACATTCATGACATAATTTTTTCTTAATTATTAGGATATTTCTAGGCTACGCAATTAGTCTGCAAGCTTTTTCAAATTGTGACAAATCTCCAAAACATTTTCTAAAATATTTATTGAAAATAATCCACATATAAGTGGAACCACATAGTTCAAACCCATGTTATTCAAGGGTCAATGTATTATTCGTAATTTACAGGTGGAAGGACTGAGGTTTGCAAATCTCTTATGTCAAGTCACTATGATCTGTTGGTACCAGAACCAAACCAAACCTGTCTTCTTATCACTGTATTCTTTCTGCCTTCCCTAAAAATCAAACAAAAAAGTGAGTTGACTATATTTTATTTTCTTTCTTTGTCTAATTCTTTTTCATTTTTAAACAAAAGCTTTTCATTTTGTGATACCTTTAGATATACAAAAAAGTTGCAAAGATAGTGAGTCCTTATACTTTTCACTCACTTCCTTCTTAGCTAATATCTTACAAAAGCATGATACTCTTGTCAAATCCTATTCCTTTTGTCAAATCAATGCTAAAGAGAAATTAGCATTGCTGCATTATTGTAACTAGAGACTTTATTTGGATTCTGCCAGTTTTCTCCACTAACATCCTTTCTCTCTTCCAAACCCAACCCAGGATATTACATTGCATTTAGTTCTGCTTCATTTTTCCCATTTCTTTCTCCTATTTGTCTCTCATTTTGCTCCAACTTTCCATCCTCTGGTCACATATTCTTTTTCCTTTTCCAGATTTTCTTTCCTTTCTGCCTCTCATTATTTTATTTTATCTGATTATTTCTTGCCACATTGATACACCCGGAAAAAAGGAAATATTGTGAAGGGTATTGACTAGCTTGGGAAATTTTGTAGTGGCTTTGTGAAGAGTTGTTTAGCATGAAATTTTTGTTTTTGTTACTGTAGTGTTGTCATAAATTGAGAAAAATTGGGTTTTAAATCTATATCAATACAACTCCCTTTAGAACCATGACTTAAAAGAGTATATTTGTTCTTACGGTTACTAGTGAAATCCAATTCCCCATAAAATAAAATGTTTTTGAAAAAACAGATTTAAAAACCAACTTTTAGAACAAATGGAATTTTAATTGGGGATTTCCATTGTACTCTATACCCTTGAAAATATTAATGCCTGTGATTACATAGATTTCTTGTTGGGCTAGCATATATTTATTTTGTAGTTTGCTCTGAGAATTAATCAAAATGCCACAGTACCAAGATAGAGTCTTAAAGCCAAAGCAACAGGCATGAAATTCAGATTCTGATGGTAAATTGAAGGCAGGAAACCCAGCATCTCAGTAGACAGACACAAAAGGCATTGCATGTGATCAGCCTGAAGACAAAAGACAATTTTTACTGGAAATTTTTTGAATTTTCAAGTCAGAGATTGGTACATTAAAGTGAAAGTGATTGTGGGAGAAATTGTGAGGAGTAAACAAAATTGTGAGGGTGGGAATGAACTTTAAAATATCTCAGTTAAAGATAAAAATGAATACTGGAGAAGTAAGGACCATGAGAAAAAGGAAAATTACATTCCACATTACAGAAACTTAAGGTCTTTCCATTTTATTTTGTTACAATTTATCTGAAAACAGAAGAAAAATGATCCTATAAACGATAAAATGTCAGTATCACCCAATGAGGAAGAATTTTAAAGCAATGTTATTTTCTCTTAAAAATGGTGGAGAGTCAGTTAACTGGTTTAAGGTGACATACATAAGTGATGATGCAGCTCCCAATGAGCCTCTAGGGACATGCTGTACTGTAATTAGATTGGCACCCTTCACAAAGTCGCTTTCTCACTTGCTCGCACGCTGAATCTTTTAATTTGGTTAGCTTATAAGTGGTTCTAAAAAAACCCCACACACATTAAAAAGTTTCCCATCTCATGAGCCCTGCAATTTAATATGCATAAAAATTATCATCATGTTATGCTTATTTTATTTTTTTCCAAGACACTGATTTTAAACTGATCATTTAAACTAACAGTGCTCACAAAATACTGTACAACTGATCCCACCACGTGGATTACTTTTATTATTGGGTTTCTGCAACAGTGGGCCTCTGTTTGGTCCTGGAAGGTAGTGCTCATATGCATGCTTCACTTGGTGTGACATATTTCAGGTAATGTTAGTGCATAGCAGATAGACAACTTTTTAATACACAAAGTCAGGTGTTGGCAACAACAGATGCCTGAGAGAAAATAAAGAAGCTATCAGGTAGGCTGGATGTTTACCATATAGAATCAAAGGGTAAGCAAAATTTTGAAGGAAAAAAACATCACTCTCAGCAACTAACACAAGAACAGAAAACCAAATACCACATGTTCTCACTCATAGGTGGGAGTTGAACAATGAGAACACATGGACATGGGGCAGAGAACATCACACACCGGGGCCTGTCGGGGATGGGGGGGACTAGGGGAGGGATAACGTCAGGAAAAATACCTAATGTAGATGATGGGTTGATGGGTGCAGCAAACCACCATGGCACGTGTATACCTAGGTAACAAACCTGCACGTTCCGCACATGTATCCTAGAACTTAAAGTATAATAATTTTTTTAAAAAAGAAATTGTGTGGCTGTACCTTACTTTAACTTTTCGCTTTAAATGCAAAGAGAAGATACAGAATAGTACAGGACTTCCAGGAAGTGAAAAAGATTTTCCAGCTAGATGTTGTTTAATGGAAATTGTCAGTGATACCACTTGGGAATGAAAATGTGTGCTATCTGTTTGCAGCATCAGAAGGAAGGCAGCTTTTATTATGCAAGAAAGAGCTGCATGTACCCAGTGAGGCTTGCAGCTTTTATTCTAATTAACCCTGTTCATTGGGTTGGCAATCTTTAACATTCTTTGGGCCAATCTCTAGTGGGAAATGATGTGATTAATGCTAGGAATCAAGATATAGGTAGTAGGAATTCATCCTAGGAGCTCACATGAGCTGTTTCAGAGAAAACTTTAGAGTAGAAGCTCTAAAAATATCAATAGTATGAAAGACATCAGAATCAAAATGGAGTCATTTGTGTTCAAAAACAAAACAAACAAAAATCCTGACAAATACAGCCAGGGAAGTCTGTGAAGAGAAGGTTCTCGTGTTTATATTTCTGTTAAGAAAACCATCACAAAAGACTGCAAAAACTGCAACCTTGCACAAAGACCACTGTAATCTTACACAAAAAAGTACTACTGCAAGGACATCTGCCCAGCAATTGCCTGTCCAAACTCATACTGGTGTCATCCTTGTTATTGATTTGTAGCCAAGGTTAATTATCTCAAAGCAATTATGTAATCTTCTCATGTTTCCTTTAAAAACTTTTGTCTTCTTTTATCTCCTGAATATGCACATAGTTTACTAGAGTATATGTAGTCCCACTGCAATGCTCCATTCCCAAATAAATAGCGTTTTGCTTTAGATAGCCTGTCTCTGTTTATTATTTAGGTTAACCATAGAAACATTATCAGTAACCAGCTTTTATCCAATGCCTACTATGTATCAGAACATAGGTATACTAGCTTCTTGCTGCCCAGACCAGCACTGTCAGCCTAGCCTCATCTGGAAGTGGCTTAGTCAGTTTAGGCTACTATGACAAAGTACCATAGACTGGGTAGCTTATAAACCACATTCTCACAGTTCTGGAGGCTGGCAGCTCCAGATCAGGTGCCAGCATGGTGGGGTTCTGGTGAAGACCCTCTTCTGGGTTACAGACTGTCAACTTTTCATTTTGTCCTTATATGGCAGAAAGAAGAATGAAGAACTGTCTGGGGTCTTTTTTATAAGGGCACTAGTTCTGTTTATAAGGGCTCTACATTCATGTGTTTACCACCTCCTAAAAGTTCTATCTTCTAAAACCATCGTATTAGATGTTAGAATTTCAACATATAAATATGAGGAGAGCATATTCAGTCTGCAGCAGGCCTCTTGATAGAAATGCATAATCTCAGACCCCACTCCTGACTTGCTGCTTCAAATTCAGCCTTTCAACAAGATCCTCAGGTGACGCACCTGCACATTCAAGTTTGAGAATCAGTTCGGAAGAAACTTTACAAAATTCACCTTAACATTTATTATTTAATTTAAGAGGCCACATTTATCTCTAGAATAAAGGCTAAGCAGGTGTTTCTTCGAGAGCCCAATGTATAAGTAAATCCACCTGTGAGACTTGTAGATTTTGGTGTATATCCTCATTACACAGAAGCATGAGCTGCTAAAATGTGAGGTTGCTCACTCAATATTCGAATCTGGTACTTAGTGTAATATTTAGAGTCGGGGTATAGTCTGGGTGGTGTAGCTGCTCTGTCCTCTTGCTTTAACATTTTTATACAGGAAAAATCATGAGGAAAAAATGGGCTATGGATGGAATCAGAGAAGGAAAGATTGAAGGCAGTTGAAACGACAGGAGAAAGAAGATGCATTCTTTTGTTTTGGAAACAGTAATAGGCTTAAGAGCAGAGTATGCTCATCTGAGCCTGCAGATACATTTTAATATTGACTGGCAGAATCATTGTCTCCCTTAGTGACAGCTGACATGAGTCTCTGCCACTTCCATAGCCTCTTGTGAGTGTGAATGCATGGGTGAAGAGGGGTGCTCTTATGGAGTAAAGAACACCACTGATTTTTCATTTAGTCTCTGTCTTCTCTGCAGACCAGAATGGCAAGCCTTTTTACTCTCCATTTACACTGAACATCTTTAGCTTTGCAAGAAACAGATTTTTTTGCAGCAGTGCTTTTATTGGTAGTTTTTGAAGTAGAAAGTTGCTGCTTTCTCCTCAAATATCTTCTGTTTCTATAGACTTAATGGTTTTCTTTCTTATTTTTTCCTGGAGTCCCTTCTCATGTCATTTATTTTCTAGTAATAAGTGTGCATTTACCTGGAGGCAGCAGCAAAACCTAACTCTGGTCTACAAGTGTACAAGCACTGGGGGAGGCGATGGGAGGACATTACATGAAAGTAAAAAAAGCAAGATGAAATTAGAAATGAAATAAGGTGAAGTAATAAGTAATGAAAAGGGGAAGGAATACTCAGCCATAACTAGCTGAGGAAAAAATGATGGAAAAATTGTTACATGGTCTCAATATTAACTATTTCATATTTGAATGTAAAATTTTCTTGCCTACTTTTGCTATTATTCCTGACAGTCAATGAACAGAACACAGAACACAATTTATTCAAAATTGTAGCAGGTATGGAAGAATATTCCAGCTTTCCTCTAGTTCTTCTTCCTCATCACCTTCTTCTGAAAGAATAAGCTGAGCACCATAACAGAGTGGCTTCTCGGGAGAGATTTTTCACATACTTTCGTTCTAACTGGGCTCAAGTCTGTAATTTGGATCTGTTTCATTCTGTCATTACAGAATGAGTGAAAATAGGGCCAAAATGAGCGAGAAAATTTGAGTAGTCAGCAAACCATAATATGCTCAGTTCTTCACATTTATGAAATAAAATTATTTTCTGCATCCCATCTGCCCTGATACAGTGTCATAAATTTGGATTATATGTCAATTATCTAAACTTACTTCTCTGTGGTTTCTCCTTTGAATATAAATGTGAATTTTAATTTAAAGCATTCTTATACACAAAACTTCTCATAAGAACTTTGTTTTAACCACCATTCTGGACTATTTCATCCTCAAAAACATCTTTTTTTCCCCCTCCAAGGTCATCTGTTTCACCACATCGCTGGAAATAAAGCAGGATGTATGGTTCTGTTTAATCAAATTTTATGCTCTGCTGCCTCTATCTTATGGCCTCTGTGCTAATTGATCAAGTTTTCAATTAAAGCCTGCCATCTTTGTTTTAATTCTTTGTTAAGGTTTTTATCCCATTAGATAACTTCATGAGGGCTGAGCTCCTACAAAACCCTCTTATCCCATCATTTTATCTACCCAATGTGGAGTTGCTTTGTGTGGAGAACATACAGTTCTTTTTTACTTCATCACATTTCTCACAGTGAAATTTCTCCTTGGATTGGCTTTGTCTACATTCAGTATCTTTAAAATTTTGATTTATTTGTTCAGGAGGGGATTAATTTACTTCTTGTGTTATCAGGGATTTTTTTTTAATTCTCCTTGTGCACTTTTCAGCTGTCTTGTTCAGTAGCAATTAAGCAAATTAGAAGTATAGTCTCCTAAGCAGAAGCTAAAAAATGACTCTAGTTAATAAATGCAAGGCATGTGACACTCCCTTTTAGATAGGATGCTTCTCTGTGAGGTCCCTCTAATGAGCTCTAACGCTACTTGATTACCAAACCCATTTTATTGTTTCCATAGATCAGTTAAATGCTAACACAAATATACGTAACAGCACATGTCTCTGGTTATACTGATTACTCACTATTACACTTGATAAGCAAAGTTTGCCCCAAAGCTGCAGTAAATCAAATCTACCCTGAAATTTACTAACAGTGTATTTAAATATAGTAGTTCTTAAAATCAATACTTTAAAAAAACAAGTAAAATGTGTTGACAGGATCAATGTAAATAAGTTTTGTCTAGGAGGGCTTTGCTCATTGCAAAATAATTCTTAATTCCAGAATGTGGAATTTTAACTTTAAGTCTAATACTTTCAACCCTGCAGGAGAAATTCAGATGACACCATTTCATGGAAGGCTGTGAAATGCATGACAGGCTGTATTAAAGGTTTACTGTTTAGAGGTTTTACAGTATGAAATTCTCAGTTTATGATAATCTTCAAATAAAGTGTGAAAGCCCATGAAATACATTTCTTTTGCCTGCTTAAGATGCAAAGAACAGACATAGTTAGTTTCTTACCTTGGTTTCTGCATCTTGAAACAGAGCTCATGCTCAGATTGGACCCATGGCTCTTGGCACTCTTTCTAAGACATGCTGTTGATCTGTGAGCGGTGGGTTTTGGAACACATAATATTTTGCTTCTACAAATATGTTTTAATGATTCAGAACCTAGTGATAATTATAACAAGATTTGTTTATACTTTCACAGGTTCTTTAATTTTCACTCACTGCCTGATAAAGATTTTACTTATTGCCTGGATCAAAAATGCCAAAGAGCAATTTTAAAAGATCAGAACATTTAGAATGCATGGAATATGTGTTGTTAGTCATCACACCTTCTTGGAAATTGGAAAATTAAAAACAGCAACTTGTGAAAAAATTTTTTACCACATTCAAGTTTGGGGAATCAATAAAACTCAACTCTAAGCCAATGTGCGTTTAAGGATATTTTCTGGAAAGGGATCTAGAAAGCTAATTAAGGAATAAGTTGTGTAACCTACTCTAAAACTTTCCTATATTTTAGATAGATGTATACTTATAAAATTAAAAACAAAACAAAAACCCATAACTGAGCATTTTGCCAAGAGTCCAACTTCCTATTTTATAAGAATATTCTGAAGTCTCCAGATATAAAACTGCTCAACTATCACAGTGGATGCTTGCCTTAACGAAAATCATTTTGTTTTAAAAATTTATGATGTGTAGTGGCTGATCAAATTGAACTATATCATATCATAAATTCAAAACCAATTTTGTCTAAGAATGTACATTATCAGTTGAAAAGGCATTTTCCACTACATTGCATTGTTTCTAAGGCAGAGATTTTCCCCTTTCAGGGTGTAGCAGAATCACTTGGAGATTCAGAGTCAATTGATCTGCAGCTGGATCCAGGAATCTGTATTTCATGCAGCCCCCCATCATTTCCTCACTCCCCATGTCATTCTAATGCAGCTGTCTATGAAGACCCTCAGAGTACACTGAGAGGAACATGATTTTAACATGTCAATATTCCAGCTTCAGTTAAAGACCTTGAACTTCACCTACTTACTGGAAGATGTTGGAATCTTAATTTACTCGTTGATTTTTTTGGATTACATTACCAAAAACTATTGAATAGCATCTCCCTTTTTCTTTGTGGTTCAATTTCAATTTGTTAATAACCTAGAAAGATAGCTCAACCTGTTTTCTTTTTTGAAAAACTTCTCAAAATGACCATCTTCTCTAATTTTTACTCAAATGAACCTGTTTTTGAAGGAAGAAATTATTTATTTTCTGGGTTTAGGTGATTGATTTTCTGGGTTTAGGTGCTTGCAGTGATCCTTATTGGATAAAAAGCGCTATGCTTTTGGGTGCACATCCCGTCTTTTCCATTATTTACTCTCATGAAAAAATCAAATAATTTCCATGCGACTTCTTTAATGTTAGCTATGACTTTATGTTTCTACTTCATGAAGGCAGGCTGTTTTTCTTGAATGCTTTAATTTGAAATAAAGTGACAGTTGCAGATTAGTTGTGTTAAATCTGCATTTGTGCTGTGGTTCCCTACTTGCTAGTTTCACTGTAAGGTGGTAAGGTACCATTTATTTCCTTCAATGACTGGGGACAACTTTGGATCTTGGAAGCCCAACTTAATTAACTGGAAGGAGGAGATGAGAGTGGTAGTTGAGAGTTGGTCTTGACTCATGCCCATAGACATGCTGAATTGCATTTCATAACAGGGAGCTGGGGAATTCCAGATTCTTATTTCTGATAAAAATTCTTGACACTGAATGTGCAACATATTCATGTTATTCATCCCATTTCTCTACTGCTATATGCAGGTAAATCTCATTGAAGAGCATATTAGAATAGGCCCAAATAGCTCTATGCATTCAGGTTCATGGACATTTCCGTTCTTATTTGTTTGTTGAAGGGTGCATATAAGAACATCTCTGCAATGCTTTTTTTTGGGGGGGGGTAGTGGGTGGCATTGGGACTGCTCTTCCAAGAACTTTTCTTTCCAAATAGTCTTGTTAATTAATTATGTTATTCTAAGGAGGTTTTAGATTTGAAATGACAGGACACTTCAAGGAAGTGGTTGGAGATAAAGCCATTAGGTACTCCTCCTCCCCCAGTCTTAGAGCAGCCAGCCTGGCTTCTCTAGTTCTAGCCCCAGGCACAACAATATGGATTTCCAAATCCCAGACTGGAGTTTATCTTCACCATGGAAACTGAGTGGGATATGACTTAAAAAGGAATATGAGGCTTATTTTCTTAAGTGCTTCCCCAGAAAACTTATGTTCAGACTCTCATTTCCTTCTGAGCTGTTCCAACTCTTTGAACTTCTGAGAGAAAGGAAACTATATAATGACAGGGGAGAGTGAAACTAGGGAAGCAAGGGAATGCAAATACCAGGAGAGCAGCGGATCCTCAGAACAGGGTTTTCTGCCTTTCTAAGGATGGTGGTTTATTTTGTCCTATAGTTTCCCATTTGAAGTGATTTGGGAGAAAGATGTTGGTAAATAATAGTATGAATCTGAAGGAAACTTTCGTTCAGCAGTTTGTCAAAAAGCAAAATGATTAAATGCTATGTTACCCTAAATTCAGGAATGTCAAACCCTCCTTCAATAACACAGTGGATGGAACTAGCCATGGTCTTGGGATCAGAAGAGAAGCCAAGGCTCGCCATGTGGGTACAGAGTGTACTAGGCAGGTCAGCTTATTTCTACAAGCCTCACTTTTTCATCTATCGAAATGGACTGCCATGATCCTTCATGGTTCTTAGCCCTAAAAGTCTAAGATTATAAATAGGAACTGATTATTTCTCCAGCTTCTGAGGTTGATAAGGCCTTCTCCAGAATAGATGCTTGCTTGCATGTTCCTCTGGATAGAGGCGCCAGCCCTAGTGCAGGGTGCATGGGTAAGCTTTAGTTGGTTTGTGAAACCAGAAGAGCTCATGTACATCTAATGGATGAGTGTTCATAGGCATTTCGTGGGGATCACAGGTTTTTGTTTTTTTGTTTATGTTTTTTTAAAATCAGATTCTCAGAGGAACTTATGACCCCAAACAATTGGCCTAAAAAGGGAAGTGTTAGAGAGACTATGAGATCCTTCTAAATAAGACTGGACGGGAGCTGAAGTGGTTAGGCTCATACTTTCCTACTTCCTTTCTGGTATAAGCCAGAATTCAAAATAAAATCTTGCAGGAGATATTATTATTTTAATGGAATTCTAAAACATATTGTGCCAGAAAGCAAAAATGTATTCAAGCCAAGTAAATCAAACAACCTCCCCAATGATGGCTGTATGTCAAAGGGACACAGAAGCCACCAAAAGAGCTCCCAATGGCCAATGCTAAAACCATCTGGGCAATAAAATTGATGTAGTATTGGATTATAATCCAAATTACAAAATAAAGATCCATAAGTCTTATGCTGACTAAATAAATGATTGGACCAATAAATAAATTTGAAAGAACAGGCAAATCTCCTGTGATTTCCAAATAATTAATGTAGGTACTCAACTCTTTAGAAGATAGAGACTATTTTCCCAGTTCTTAAGCGGAGGCTAAGCATAGTGACTTTCTTCCAAAGAATTCAGTATGGGAACTGGACAAAAAAATCAACTTTACAGTGGAGAAACTTGAAAAATCGTATCTGAAGCCAGATAATCAAGGTTGACATCAACAGTGGTAGGTCATATTGACAGTATATGCCCGTGATATTATGTGATGAGAATAGTCATTTACCTCTGTGGTCTTCCTCCTAAAAACACATTACCCCTGCCCAATAATGAGAAAAAAATAAGACAAATCCCAATTAAAGGATATCTACAAGACACCTGACCAGTAATCCTCAAAACTGTCATGGTCATAACAAATACAGAAAGTCTGAGAAACTGTCACAGCCAGAAGGGCCTGAGGGAACATGACTATTCAGTGTAATATAGTATCCCAGAAGAGAAAAAAGACAAAGAAAACCCAAGATCATCTGCATGTAATACAGGCTGTAGTTTAAAAAATATTGTGTGTTTGTATGTATGTGTGAACACATCTCTGCAAACATAATAAAATTTATTTGGAATGTGATATTGTGCCATCATTAAGGGCAGACTCTAGCGGCTGATTTCTAGGGTTTAATTCCAGGCTCTGTCAATAATTTTTAGCAGTGTGGCTTTCGGTAATTATTTAACATCTCTCTTCCTCAGATTTTTAAATTGTAAAGTTAATACATATAAAGATTTTAGGATAGTATCTAGCCCTTAGAAGATGTTCTTTGTTCATTATTATTACTTTTTATTATTTATTTATTTATTTTTTAGAGACAGGGTCTTGCTATATTGCCTAGGCTGAACTAGAACTTCTGCCTCAGACTCCCAAGTAGCTGGGACTACAGGCATGTGCCATCATGCACAAATGTTCATTATTATTATTATCAACTGGAAAAATGAAATAATGTGAAAATATGAGCTTATATATCTGCCTATACAGGAACACTTGTGTTTAAAAATAATGATTATAATTAACATTTATATAGTGTTTTATAGTTTATAAAATAATGGCGTGTATCTATTTTTTGGAGCTTCACAACATCACTACGAGCTATTTTGGTACAATACAATCTCCATTTTACAGATGGAGAAAACAGTTCAAAGAAGTTAAGCTACTTTTTGGAGATCATAGGTAAATGCCAGAGTGGGGATGACATATTCTGATTTCAAAGCCCAGGTTCTTCAAACTGTGTAAGGCTGCCTTTTAGGAAATATCTACTTGCAAACTCTCCAGAAGTTTTAAATTAGAAAAAGTCCTGAAGATACTGCTCCAAAGTTTTGTTCTCAACATTTTATCACATTATTTTTCACAGCACCCTTACAGCGATAAAAGAATAAACACTGACTTCTATATTTTGCAGATGAAAAAGCATGGCTCTAAAATTTTTGTTCTTTTCACATCAAGAATTTGTTAGAGTCTGTGAGAAAATCTACCTTAAAGTAGAACAAGTTTTATTATTTGCTCCAAAAAGAATATGTGCTATACTCTATGCTAGGAGTTATAGGCAATACAATAGTGAATACATTAAGATTATTGTCCTCAATAATTTGGCTATGTATTGTTTGGTTCTTCTTTTCATCTAAACCTAAATTAGGCAATATATTTCTCATATATATTCCAAGATTAGTTTAATGTATCATAACATGATTGTATTTTTAACAACCAAATATTAGACAAAAGGTAACTGTGAAGATTTTAAGTTTTAAAAAGACAGATCAAATTTGTATAGTAAAAATTTTGCTGTGTTAAAAAGAACATAAAAAAAGTTGTATAAAAATGGGACTTTTTGAAATTATATGCATGCATTTGTATATAATTTACTATAAATATATATGTGTATAAAATATGTATATGTGGCATTCTCAGACCATGTATGCAGATACTCTGCAGAAACACAATCTTGGAGGCATCTGAATACAGGTGTTTTGCAAGAGCAGCTAAGGGAAGAGGGAAGCCCTATTGGCAATAAGTAACATATTTATTAATTATTGTGTAATGAGTTACCCCAAACTTAGTGGCAGAAAGCAACAAAAAATCATTTCCCAGTTTCTGTGGATAAGGAATCTGGGTGCATGCTCCAGTTGAAGGTTTCTTATGAGTGAAGTTTCAGTAAAGATGTCAGAGTTGGGGCTGTAGTCTGATCTGATGGTGCAGTTGGGGAAGGATCTGCTTCCAAGTTTGCACACGTGGTTGTTGGCAAGATTCAGTTCCTCACTGACTGTTGAGATCCTCAGTTTCTCACTGACAGTTGGCCAGGGACCTTCCTTAGTTCCTTGACGTGTGTGTTTACCCTTGGGGCAGCACATGGTGTGGGAGCTGACTTCCTTCAGAACATGAAAGCAAGTGAGTGATCAAGAAAATCAGTCATTTTATAACTTATTTCTGGAAGTGACATAACATCGCCTCTACCTTTTTTTTTTCTTTTTTTTTTTGGTTGAAGTTCATTGTTAGGTCTAGCACATATTCAAGGGGAAAGGATTGCACAGGGCGTGCATAGCAAGAGGTGAGAATCACTGTGAGTCATCTTGAGGGTTGCCTATCACACATGCACAGTTTGTATAATGAAATATTGGAAAACACTGAAGGAAAGTTATCTTGGCCCAGGAATACATGAAGGAAGTGGGAGGTGGAGGCTCTATGAGCCCAGCTGACAGGTTGTATCCCAGATGTCTGGGTGGGTCGTGGCAATGTGGTGTCTCCTGTCTAGTTGCAGTATACAGAGTTGAGAGATATGTCGAAGCCTGGATAGCTATTTAGCAAACTCATTGACTCTCATTCCTGGGCACACAGCTTAGATCTTTCTTTGAAGCTAGGTGTGGACATGTGACTGATTTCTAGCCAGAGTAATGTAAATAGAAGTTATGTGCACCACATTCAGGCAAGCACTAAAATCTCCCATGCACAATCTTCCATGTTTTTTCCACTTCAGTATGAAAAGAATAGAGATGATCTCAAGTGTGACTTTTTAAGATCCAAGTTGAATATGGTAGAGCCTGAGAGGAAGGGAACCTTGGCACATGACAGGAGAGTCACCTACTGACCAAAAACATCATGTGAGAAAGAAAGAAATTTCTTCTGGATTAAGCCACCACTGATATGCAGTTCATTGATTATAGGAGCTAGCATTACTCAAACTACAAGAGCCAGATCATCTGAAGCAGCAGTCCTGAACCAAGCAGTTAAGCTCTAATAATGCAAAAGAAAACCAGAAATGTAAGAAGCTGGCTAAATTAGCTTTTAATCCAAAATACCTAAGATGGTTCTTGGCATAAAGTAAGTTCTTTATAATTTTGGTTAAATGATAGATACTGACTAAAGTTAGTCAGTTATTAAAGGGAGCTGACACATGTAAGGTTTATGAGATAGCAGAATTAATTTGAGCCTAGAGCAATACTCTAAATAAAATTTCAGATGAGGATATTTTTGTTTTGTTTTGTTTTGCAGTTGTTAATGTGTTGCCTCTGGTTTGGGAATTTGGAACTAATTAAACAGGTAAGAAAATGAAAGGCCCCCATTAGGAGCTTTAGAGTGACATATTAGATTTAAGAGCAAGAAATTTAGAGGCACTGACAACACCAATAAATTTAGTTTACTAAAGACTTACCTTCAGCAGTCAGCTTTTACTGGCGGCCCAGATATATTACAGCTCTGCAGTTCCCCGAAGCATCTTAAAGACTTTTGATTCCTTTATAGCTCATATAATATTTTGTAGACTGGGTCTATAGTATGTGTTTATTCTCTCCTATGTTTATTTAACTGTCATGTATTGAGCACCTACTATGTGCAAGGAAATATTGAGATGTATGGTCTGTATCTTTGAGGAGTTAAGTCTAAGGAATTTAAGGAAAACAGATGTTACCTGTTTATAGGCATGCTTTAAGGGGTAGCATCTAAAGTGCTAGCATTATCAGCATAATACTTGTAAAAGAAATATAAATAAAAATAACAAAAGTTGATGTTAATATTCATCTAATTTTCCCTATTATTACTACACCTCTTGCTCCTAAACTCTGTATATTCATATACACAAGATACTTTTTCCTTTTTAAAATTCTTTTCTAGCATATTTTCTTACACATTTTTCCATTTGGTTTGTTGCTAAAAAAGAACGAAAATGACACATACCAACCACATGGGTAACCTTTCTGTGTTGTTCTAATGAAATCTTATAATTCTGTAACCAGAAAACTTTTGCTTCTTTGTATGTGGCAAAGGATAAATCTCAAGGAGCCAGACATCTGGCTGGCACCGTGGGGCAGAGCAGGGCAGTGCAGGATCTCTCTAGCCTGGGCAATCTGGAAGAGGGAGGTGAAGCACTTAAGAAGGAGGGCCTCTCTGTGAACTGAAATATGTCCTGTGGGTTTTCAGAACAGTCACAATCATGCTGAGGACCAAGATTTAATGGAGCGAAGGAAGGCAGTTCTGGTTTGATAATCGCTCTTCTATATTTATGCCACTTCTTTATTTTGTTGTTGTTAATTGTTGTTGTCGTCGTTGATGCTGCTATTTCCTCTGTAGCTCTCTAAGCCCCTAGCTCATAGCCAGTACCTTGAGCACTTATGTCATGCCTGGCACTGGTCTAAGTGCTTCACTTAACATTATCTCGTTTAATACATATAGCAATTCCATAGGGAAAATATTTCTCTTGTCTTCATTGTACCAAAGCAGGAAGTAAGTGAAGGTAGGTTTAACTGTTGCATCTCTAGTAAATGATGTGGTAGTCTGATTTTCATGGCTTGCCTCTTGATAACTTTACTTTCTGAATATTACTCCTTCCTTTTTCTAAAATTCTTTCAGCTATTAAATTTGAGAATTTCTCCAAATACCCAAACTTATCAAATCACCTGTTGATTTTGATAACTTTATTTTTTCTCTCTTCATTACTAATTATAAGGAATTTAGAAAATAAAGATAAGCAAAAGAAGAAAACAAAAATCACCCACAGCTCCTTCATCTAAGAGCAAACAGTGTTATCACCTTTGATAGGTGTGAAATACATATTAACACATGCAACTGACATTTACTGGACATCTCTTATATGTTAAGTCTTTACAGATATAGAATTTTGTGAAACTTTTTCAACTTTCAAGTCACAGATACACATTCATGCTAATTCAACCAATGTTCTATTGAATGAGTAGAGAAAAATAAAGAAACAGAAAATGTCTCAGTAGCTATATAGCTTGCCTTGTGAAACTGGAACATAGTTTAGGAAGCAAAGACAACTAGTTATTTAATATTAATTCTAGGTAACATCTCCCCTGATGTAGCTGCTCCCTATGCTGTAAGTCCACAATTTCTTGTGAGCGTTTTCACAGTCTTCTCTTCTCCTATTATACCTTTTCTTTTGTCACCAAAGAAATGTCTTCTCTCCCCACTCCTCTTTATTGATTTTTTTTTGACAGAGTCTCGCTCTGTTGCCCAGGCTGGAGTGCAGTGGCGCGATCTCAGCTCACTGCAACCTCCACCTCCCGGGTCAAGTTCAAGCAATTCTCCTGCCTCAGCCTCCTGAGTAGCTGGGACTATAGGCGCACACCAACACTCCTGGCTAATTTTTGTATTTTTAGTAGAGACGGGGTTTCACCATATTGTTCAGGCTGGTCTCAAACTCCTGACCTCAGGTGATCCACTTGCCTTGGCCTCCCAAAGTGCTGGGATTACAGGTATTGCATTTTCTTGATTGTAACTTCTTTTGCCTCAAGATGTCTGACTAGTGTCTTTTCTCAATATGTATCTCTTTTTCTCTTCATCCTCTGTTACGTTTTTCTCTGAGTAGTTTACATTTAAACCCTCCAAGATATGACCTGGTTGACTGCCCAAACACCTTTTAGGCTAGTGTAGAACATCCCTAGTGAATACCTGAGATTACTCTCAGGTAGAGTAAAGTTATCTTGGATTGGCTCAGAGTCCTGGTTTACAACTGTTGGTCCAGCATAATTAATAGCAGCATCTCTTTTCACTGTGAAAATTTTCCCACTTTGTATGATAAGTCGTATTATTTCGTATTATTATCTGGCTCATATGCTACTGGTAAGACAGTAAAAGACTGGTTATCAGTTCTTCAATAATAGATCCAAATGAGAAAAAGTCAGTGAAACTGCCATATTAAGATTATCCTAATTAGATTGATAACAAAGAGACAAAAAATTCTCAGAATTCTAATTGAATATCATGATTAGTAAAATAGAATTAACTATTATTTGTAGAGAGCATAGAAGTAGGATGTGGAAATGCACTTGCTTTTCAAGTATACTAGAACCCTTTTCAAAAGGATCACATGCTGGGATGAAAAGGTATGCAAGCGATTTTTAAAAGCTGATATCCTATGGGTTACATTTTAGGCTACAATACATTAAAAATAGAAACAAATAATAAAAATGGAATTAAAATGAGCCAAATGCATAAAAACATTTTTAAAAGTGTTTTAAAAAAGTGCCTAGGTCAGGGAAGGAACCCAGAGCAAGAAAATGCAATGAAAATATACATACAATATGTTTTAAAAGTATGGAATGCTGCCAAAATAGCACTTAGTAAAACATTTATTACTCAAAATTCCACAATTTGTATAGAAGTAAAGAATAATAATAATAAAAAAGATGAACTAAGCCTCTACTTAACATATTCAGGAAAATAATAAAACAACATGCCAAAAGGAAATAATAACAAATAAAATTGAAAGTATATGGGGAAAACAATGCAAAAGGAATCCAATTTACAATAAAGTAAACATTTAGTAAATATTTAGGAATAAGTTACAAAGCTACAAATGACGTGAAAAACGACTAAGTTTTATTGGGAGAATATTGAAATAAACAGAGGGGCAAACTGTATTTCTGAATATAAAGACTATCATATTCTAAAGATGTCAGATGTTCGCAACTTTCATTATAGCTTTGGTAAAGTCTCAATGAAAGCATAAACATGACTTTATAAATGATAATTCTAAGAATGCCTCTGGGAGCATAAATAGGTCAGAATATCAAAGAGTTTTCTGAAAAAGAATTGAGAGTTATTAAATGTCTGTGTCTAGAGTAAAATGAAAATAATAAAACCAAAGCTTCCTTTTAATGAAAATAAAACAAAATAAATAAAAGTAGATTTATTGAAATTTTAAATACAAAATTTTGTTTTATAGAAACAAAGGAAAAAATGACTGTTGACTAGAACCTTATAGTGGTCACTTTGTAAGTAGAGAAATGATAGAAAATACCCAAATGGAAAAGGAACTACAGATTATACTATAGTTTTTAGCCTCTATAAAAAGATTGCAACCGGCTGGGCGCGGTAGCTCATGCCTGTAATCCCCGCACTTTGGGAGGCAGAGGTGGGTGGATCACGAGGTCAGGAGTTCACAACCAGCCTGGCCAAGAAGGTGAAACCCTGTCTCTTAGCCAGGCCTGGTGGCAGGTGCCTGTATTCCCAGCTACTCGGGGGGCTGAGGCAGGAGAATCGCTTGAACCCAGGCGGGAGAGGTTGCAGTGAGCCGTGATCACAACATTGCACTCTGGCCTGGGCGATAGAGTGAGACTCCATCTCAAAAAAAAAAATTGCAAGCTAAATTAAAAACTGCAGATACGTTGCAACTAAATTAAAAACTTTCAGAAAAAGTGAAAAAACTTTAAATCGGTATTATATAAAGTGTTTGCTTAGCATTTTGAGAAAAATCTGGACAACATAGCAATTAATTAGAGGATGTTATAAAAGAGTTACTTAGCTCGACAGACATTTATTGAACAACTAACCTCTCAGGATACTAGAAAAATATTATCACTGCCCTCAAAGTGCTTTGGAGCTGTTAACCAAGTAAACATAGTCAAGACATGCAAATTAGGAGAAGACTATTAAAATATTTTGTACCTATTTAACTGGAATTAATAAAAATTAAATATAAATCCTTAGTATAGATGAGACTTTTTTTTTAACTGATTTATTCACATTTCAGGTATCAATTCTCAAAATCTATTTAAATTTTTGTAGTTTTAAAATTTCACCATGATCCACACTGGCTGTTGAAAAATTCGAAATGTATATTAGCAAAAAGAAAACATTGCTAATAACATCCAGTAATAACTATAGTTAATATTTTAATGTACAGTCTTTCCAACTTTTTAATGCATACTTATTTACTTACCAAAATGGGATCATAAAATTATGTTTGTAATCTGTCTTAACATTTTATTATATAAGTATTATTCATATTACTCTTATACTTACAAATTATAATTTTCCTTTAATCAAATTCCATAGTAAATATATACCATAATGTATTTGACTAATCCCCTTTTGTTGGTTAAGATGTTTCCGGTTTTTTCTTTTTTATCTAATTCATTCATCTAGTAAATACTTATTCTATTAATTCCCCTAGGTTTTGTGAACAGAGTAATGAACACAGCAGATGTTGTGCCTTTACCCGTAAGCTTTATATTTTAGATTGTTTTGTTGTTCACCTGCGCTCTTTGGCTACAACTTGATGAGGCATGCCCACGCGAAAACCACATCCCATTTTGCAGCAGTATGCCACCTTCCGGAGGGAATGCTGCCACCATCTCCCACCTCTACCTGTGGACCACAAAGCTTAGGCTCTCCAGCTTCTCTGATTTTACCGAACCTCTCACTAAAGGCTAAGAGAAATGTCTGACATCACATTAGTCATCTTTTATTCTAGCCTAGGGCTGAATTCGATGAATTTGGGTTGTTTCCTATCTTCAGGAAACTGTTAAGATCCAATTCGTCATGGCTAACTTCTTTTTTTCCTTGATTATCACCAAAAATATGATTTCTTGCAGGCATCAAATTGATTCCCACATGTACTGTATTTTTCAAATGCTCAGTGATGGCTTTCTCCTATCTCAACTTCCTGCCTCTCTCCATCCTCCCAAACCTCCTCACAGTGCCCTATTAATTTATCATCATGTTATAAATAAGTTCACCTATATCCATAGACACTTTTCACATGAAATTTTTATTTTCTTTTTTTGAGGCAACCACCACCAGCCTCATATAGGCTATCCATTTTCTCCAATACTTACTATCTTAAGGATGGATGTACAATTAGTGCTTGCAGGGTCATTACCATATATCATTTTACATTTTCTTTTGACTTCCCTCCCTTAGGCAATAATTCTAATTTGTTTAATTTGTGTTTGTAAGTGTTCTTGTAAAAAATATACTTTCTGATGTATATCAGTTTTTAATACATTAAAAAGTATTATGTTAGATATTTCATTCTATTCTTTTTTCCAGTTAGTACTACATTCTTAAGGTTCCTCAGTGTGGCTATGTAGAATATCTACTCTCTTTTATCTTATCCTTGCATAATGCTCAGTAGATTCTATATTTCATACTATGCCTGTTTTCTCTACCAGTAAGGAGTGCCTAGATTCCCTCCAATTACTTGCCAAGTCACATAATTCTGCAATAAATGTCCTTTTATAAATGCCCCTTAAGGAATTTTGTGAGACTTTCTTTGGGATCAAAGAACCTGAAATTGAACGGCTGAATAATATGGTGTAAATATACCAAATATGGCTAAATAGTGCCAGATTGCCCTATCGCTAGCTCTACTATAAGAAGGTTCCTATAACTCATACTTCCTTTCCACTTTTTTGTATTATTCTTTTTTTTTTTTTGAGACGGATTCTCACTCTGTCGCCCAGGCTGGAGTGCAGTGGCGTGATCTTGGCTCACTGCAAGCTCCGCCTCCCGGGTTCACGGTATTCTCTTGCCTCAGCCTCCCGAGTAGCTGGGACTACAGGCGCCTGCCACCACGCCTGGCTAATTTTTTGTATTTTTAGTAGAGACGGGGTTTCACCATGTTAGCCAGGATGGTCTCGATCTCCTGACCTCGTGATCCGCCCGCCTCGGCCTCCCAAAGTGCTGGGATTACAGGCGCAGGGTTTTTTTTTGTTTGTTTGTTTGTTTTAAATTTTTACTAGTCTAAGAGACTTAAAATGTTATTTCATTTTGCTTTTATTTTGTATTCCATGAATTAATAATGAATTTGAACATCTTTTTCTACATTGTCAGCCTCTGCGTTTCTTCCTTTTGAGTTATATCTTCATAACCTTTGCTCGTTTTTTTTGGAGGGGTTCTGTGATTTTTTTTTTTGTTGTTGTTGAAATAGAGAAGTTTGTAGTATAATTTTGATATGAATCCCTTATAAATTTAGGATTTAAAAATAGTTTCTCCCTTTTCATCATCTAGTAATTAATGATTTTCTTCATGTCTTTTGTCTTACAGAAATCTTTATTTTTGATAGAATCAAATCAAACATCAAATTCATGTTTTTGCCTTTATGGTTTTTGTTTTGGCAGTTTTGTTTAAAATTTCTTTTTAATTCCTAACTTTATACTTCATACTAAATTTATTTTCATGTCTTTCACGAGTAGATTGTTAATTAACCGGAATTTTATCTTTTTATGTGGTATCAGGGGGAGGTCTAGTTTCACTCTTCTCTGTAGGGTGAACTAGTCTATCAAAACCACTGTGGTAGTCAGCCTCTACAACAGGCTCCAATGATCCACGCTTTATGGTATTTACTCCTTTGTTTAATCCCTTCCCAGTAAGAGTGGGCTGTAACCTAGTAATTTGCTTCCAACCAACAAACTATGGCAAAAATTTCGTGATGTCACTTCTGAGGTTAGGTTCTAAAAAGTGTGGGACTTCTTTTTTTTGTTTGTTTTTTTTTGAGACGGAGTCTCGCTCT